>NT_187433.1:63653-97352 GCF_000001405.40 Homo sapiens | reverse complement strand
GTGCTGCACCCATTAACTCATCATTTAGCATTAGGTATATCTCCTAATGCTATACCTGCCCCCTCCCCCCCACCCCACAACAGTCCCCAGAGAATGACGTTCCCCTTCCTGTGTCCATGTGTTCTCATTGTTCAATTCCCACCTATGAGTGAGAATATGTGGTGTTTGGTCTTTTGTTCTTGTGATAGTTTACTGGGAATGATGATTTCCAATTTCATCCATGTCACTACAAAGGACATGAACTCATCATTTTTTATGGCCGCATAGTTCCATGGTGTATATGTGCCATATTTTCTTAATCAAGTCTATCATTGTTGGACATTTGGGTTGGTTCCAAGTCTTTGCTATTGTGAATAGTGCCACAATAAACATACGTGTGCATGTGTCTTTATAGCAGGATTATTTATAGACTTTTGGGTATATACCCAGCAATGGGATGGCTGGGTCAAATGGTATTTCTAGTTCTAGATCCCTGAGGAATCGCCACACTGACTTCCACAATGGTTGTACTAGTTTACGGTGCCACCCACAGTGTAAAAGTGTTCCTATTTCTCCACATCTTCTCCAGCACCTGTTGTTTCCTGACTTCTTAATGATTGGCATTCTAATTGGTGTGTGATGGTATCTCATTGAGGTTTTGATTTGCATTTCTCTGATGGCCAGTGATGGTGAGCATTTTTTCATGTGTTATTTGGCTGCATAAACATATTCTTTTGAGAAGTGTATGTTCGTGTCCTTCACCCACTTTTTGAAGGGGTTGGTTGTTTCTTTTATTTTTCCTTTTTAAACGTATGCCTCAAAGCACTCCAGTTATCCATTTGCAGATACTGCAGAAAGACTGTTTCCAAACTGCTCAATCAAAAGAAAGGTTCAACTCTGTGAAATGAATGCACACATCAGAAGGAAGTTTCTCAGAATGCTTCTGTCTAGTTCTTATCTGAAGATATTTCCTATTTCCCCAGAGGCCTCAGTGGGCTGAAAAATATCCCTATACAGATTCTACAAAACTACTGTTTCCAAACTGCTCAATCAATACAAAGGTTCAAGTCTGCGATATTAATGCACACATGACAAAGAAGTTTCTCAGAATGCTTCTTCATATTTTTTATGTGAAGATATTTCCTTTTTCACCATAGGTCTCAAAGCATTCCAAATATCCACTTGCAGATTCTACAAAAAGACTGATTCCAAACTGTGCAATCAAAAGAAAGTTTCAACTCTGTGAGATGAAAGCACATATCACGAATAATTTTCTCAGAAATTTTCTGTTTAGTTTTTATGTGAATATATTTCCTATTACCCCATAAGCCTCAATGGGAACAAAAATACCCCTTCACAGATTCTACAAAATTACGGGCTCCAAACTGCTCAATAAAAAGAAAGTTAAACCCTGTGAGATGAATGCACATATCACAAAGAAGTTTCTCAGAATGCTTCTGTCTAGTTTCTATGTGAAGATATTACCTTTTCCACTATAGGATGCAAAACGCTCCAAATATCGACTTGCAGATTCTACAAAAAGAGTTTTCAAAACTGCTCAATCAAAAGAAAGATTCAACTCTGTGAAATGAATGCACACATGATAAAGAAGTTTCTCAGAATGCTTCTGTCTAGTTTTTATGTGAATATATTTCCTTTTCCACCATAGGCCTCAAAGCAAAGAAAGTATCTGTTTGCAGATTCCAAAAAAGACTGTTTCCAAACTTCTCAATCAAAAGAAAGGTTCAACTCTGTGAGATGAATGCATACATCACAAAGAAGGTTCTAAGGAAGCTTATCTCTAGTTTTTATATGAAGATATTTCCTATCGCCCCACAAGCATCAATGGGTTCACCAATATCCCAATGTAGATTCTACAGTTGGAAAACTGCTCAATCAAAGGAATAGTTTAACTCTGTAAAATGAATGCACACATCACAAAGAAGTTTTTCAGAATGCTTCTCTTCTGTTTTAATGTGAAGATATTTCCTATTCCACCATAGGGCTCAAAGTGCTCCAAATATCCACTTGCAGATTCTACACAAAGAGTGTTTCAAAACTGCTCAATCAAAGGAAAGTTTCAAATCTGTGACATTAATGCTCACATCACAAAGCAGTTTCTAAGAATCCTTCTGTCTGGTTTTTATGTGAGGATACTTCCTTTTTCACCACAGGCCTCAAAGAGCTCCAAAAATCCATTTGCAGATACTACAAAAAGTTTGTTTCCAAACTGCTCAATAAAGAGAAAGGTTCAAATATGAGAGATGAAACCACACACCACAAAGAAGTTTCTCAGAATTCTTCTTTGTGGTTTTTCTGTGAAGATATTTCCTTTTCCACCATAGGCCTCAAAGCGCAACAAATATCCACTTGCTGATTCTATAAAGAGTGTTTCAACACTGCTCAATCAAAACAACGGTTAAACTCTGTGAGATGAAAGCACACATCACAAAGAATTTTCTCAGAGTACTTCTGTCTAGTATTTATGTGAAGATATTTCCTTTTCCACCATAGGCCTAAAGCTCTCCAAATATCAATTTAAAGACACTACAAAAACACTTTCTCCAAACTGCTGAATCAAAAGAAAGGTTCAACTCTGTGAGTTGAATGCAAACATCACAAAGAAGTTTCTCAGAATGCTTCTATCTAGTTTTTATGTGAAGATATTTCCTTTTCCACTATAGGCCTAAAAGCTCTCCAAATATCCATTTGCAGATACTACAAAAAGACTGTTTCCAAACTGCTGAATCAAAAGAAAGGTTCAACTACATGAGTTGAATGCACACATCACAAAGAAGTTTCTCAGAATGCTTCTGTCCAGTTTTTATGTGAAGATATTTCCTTTTCCACCATAGGCCTCAAAGTGCTAAAAATATCCACTTGAAGATCCTACAGAAAGAGAGTTTCAAAAGTGCTCAAACAAAAGAAAGGTTCAACGCTGTGACATGAGTGCACATATCACAAAGAAGTTTCTCAGAATGCTTCTGTCTAGTTTTATGTGAATATATTTCCTTTTCCACTGTAGGCCTCAAAGCACTCCAAATATCAACGTGCAGGTTCTGCAGAAAGAGTTTTTCAAGCTCTCAATCAAAAGAAAAGTTCAACTCTGTGAGACGAATGCACACATCATTAAGAAGTTCCTCAGAATGCTTCTGTCTATTTTTTATGTGAAGATATATCCTTTTCTACCATAGACCTCAAAGCACTCCAAATATCCCCTTGCAGTTTCTACTAAAAGAGTGTTTCCAAACTGCTCAATCAAAATAAAATTTCAACTCTGTGAGATGAATGCACACATCACAAAGAAGTTTCTCAGTAATTTTCTGTCTAGTTTTTATGTGAAGATATTTCCTTTCCTACTATAGGCCTGAAAGTGCTCCAAATATCCATTTGCAGATATTGCAAAAAGACTTTATCCAATCTGCTCAATGAAATGAAAGTTCCAACTCTGTGAGTTGAATACACGCATCTCAAAGAGATTTCTCAGAATGGTTCTGTCTAGTTTTTATGTGAAGATATTTGCTTTTCCGCCAGTGGCCTCAAACTCTCCAAATAACCACTTGCAGATTCTACAATAAGAGTGTTTAAAAACTGCTCAATCAAAAGAAAGGTTTAACTCTGTGAGATGAATGCACACATCACAAAGCACTTTCTCAGAATGCTTCTGTTTAGTTTTTATGTGAAGATATTTCCTTTTTCACCATAGGCCACAAAGTGCTCCAAATATCTCCTTCAGATTCTACAGAAAGAGTGTTTCCAAACTGCTCAATCAAAAGAAAGGTTCAACTCTGTGAGTTGAATGCGCACATCACAAAGAATTTTCTCAGAATGCTTTTGTCTAGTTTTCATGTGACGATATTTCCTTTTCCACCAGACTCCTCAAAGTGCTCCAAAAATCCACAAGCAGATTCCATAAACAGAGTATTTCTAAACTGCTGAATCAAAAGAAAGTTTCAGCTCTGTGAGATGAATGCACACATCAGAAAGAAGATTATCAGAATGCTTCTGTGTAGTTTTTATGTGAAGATATTTCCTGTTCCACATTAGGACTCAAAGCACTTCAAATATCCCTTGCAGATTCTACAAAAAGAGTGTTTCAAAACTGCTCAATCGAAAGAAAGGTTCAAGTCTGTGAGATGAATCCACATCTCACAAAGAAGTTTCTCAGAATGCTTCTGTCTAGTTTTTATTTGAGGATATACCCTTTTCCACAATAGGCTGCAAAGCGCTCCAAATATCCACTTTCAGATTCTTTAAAAAGAGTGTTTCCAGACTGCTCAATCAAAAGAAAGTTTCAACTCTGTTTGTTGAATGCACACATTACAACGAAGTACCTCAGAATACTTCTGTCTAGTTTTTAGGTGAAGATATTCCCTTTTAAACTGTAGTCCACAAAGCGCTCCAAATATCCACTAGCAGATTCTACAAAAAGAGCGTTTCAAAACTCCTCAATCAAAACAAGGATTCAACTGTGTTAGTTGAATGCACACATCACAAAGAAGTTTCTCAGAATGCTTCTCTCTAGTTTTTATGTGAAGATATTTCCTTTTCCACCGTAGGCCCCGAAGCACTCCAAATATCCACTGGTAGAGTCTACAAATATGTGTTTCAAAACTACTCAATCAAAAGAAAGTTCAACTCTGTGAGATGAATGCACGCATCACAAAGTCGTTTCTCAGAATGCTTCTGTCTAGTTTTATTTGAAAATATTTCCTTTATACCTTAGGACCCAAAGCACTCCAAATATCCACCTTCAGATTCTACAAAAAGTGTGTTTCAAAACTGCTCAATCAAAAGAAAGGTTCAAACCTGTGAGATGAAGGCACACATCACAAAAAAGTTTCTCAGAATGCTTCTGTCTATTTTTAATGAGAAGATATTTCCTTTACCACTGTAGGACTGAAAGCGCTCCAAATATCCACTTACAGATTCTACAAAAAGAGTGTTTCAAAACTGCTCAATCAAAGGAAAAGTTCTACTCTGTGAGAAGAATGCACACATCGCAAAGATGTTTTGCAGAGTGCTTCTGTCTATTTTTTATGTGAAGATATTTCCTTTTCCACTTGAGGCCAGAAAGCACTTCAAATATCCAATTGAAGATTCTACAAAAGAGTGTTTCAAAACTGCTCAATCAAAGGAAAGGTTCAATTCGCTGAGCTGAATGTGCACATCAGAAGGAAGTTTTTCAGAATACCTCTGTGCAATTTTTATGTGAAGATATTTCCTATTCCACAATAGGCTCCAAGGCTCTCCAAATATCCACTTGCAGATTCAACAAAAAGTGTGTTTCAAAACTGCTCAATCAAAAGAAAGGTTCAACTCTGTGAGAGGAACGCTCACATCACAAACAGGTTTCTCAGAATGCTTCTGTCTTGTTTCTGTGTGAAGGTATTTCCTTTTCCACTAGTGGATGCAAAGCACTCCAAATATCCACTTGCAGATTTTACAAAAGGGTGTTTCTAAAGTGCTAAATCAAAACAAAGTTTCAAGTCTGTGAGATGAATGCACATATCCCAAAGAAGTTTCTCAGAATGCTTCTGTCTAGTTTTTATTTGAAGATATAAAATTTTCCACTATAGGCCACAAAGCGCTTCAAATATCCACTTGCATATTCTTCAAAAAGAGTGTTTAAAAATTGCTGAATCAAAAGAAAGTTTCAACTGTGTAAGATGAATACACACATCACAAAGAAGTTTCTCAGAATGCTTCTGTCTAGTTTTTATGTGAAGATATTTCCTCTGTCATAGGCAACAAATCACTCCAAATATCTATTTACAGATTCTACAAAAAGTGTGTTTGAAAACTGCTCTATCAAAACAAAGTTTCAACTCTGTGAGATGATTGCACACATCATAAAGAAGTTTCTCAGAATGCTTCTGTGTAGTGTTTATGTGAAGATATTTCCTTTTCCACCATAGGTCTCAAAGCGTTCCATATATCCACCTGCTGATTCTACAAAAAGAGTGTTTCAAAACTACTTAATCAAAAGAAATGTTCAACCCAGTGAAATGAATGCACTCGTCACAGAGAAGATTCCCAGAATGCTTCTGTCTAGTTTTTATGTGAAGATATTTCCTTTTCCACTATAGGAGGCAAAGCGTTCCAAATATCCAATTGCAGATTCCACAAAAAAGTGTTTCAAAACTGCTCAATGAAAAGAAATGTTGAATTGTGTGTCATAAATACATGCATCATAAAAGAGTTTCTAAGAATGCTTCTGTCTGGTTTTCATGTGAAGATATTTCCTTTTCCAATATAGACCTCAAAGCACTCCAAATATACATTTGCAGGTGCTACAAAAAGAATGTTTCCAACCTCCTCAAAGATACGATCTTTGTGAGTTGAATGCACACATCACAAAGTAGTTTCTAAGAATGCTGCTGTCCAGATTTTATTTGAAGATATTTCCTTTACCAACATAGGCCTCAAATCTCTCCAAATATCGAATTGCAGATTCTACAAAAACAGTGTTTGAATACTGTTCAAACAAAAGAAAGGTTCAACCCTGTGAGATGAATGCACACATCACAAAGAAGTTTCTCAGAATGCTTCTGTGCAGTTTTTATGTGAAGATATTTCCTTTACCACCATAGGCCTCAAAACGCTCCAAATATCGACTTACAGATTCTACAAAAAGAGTGTTTCAAAACTGCTCAATCAAAAGAAAGGTTCAACTCTTTGCAATGAATGCACACATCACAAAATAGTTTTTCAGAATCCTTCTGTCTAGTTTTTATGTGAATATAGATTCTTTTCCACTATAGGCCACAAAGTGCTCCAAACACCCACTTGCATATTCTACAAAAAGAGTGTTTCAAAACTCCTCAATAGAAAAAGTTTCAACTCTGAGGTGAATGCACACATCACAAAGAAGATTCTCAGAATGCTTCTGTCTAGTTTTTATGTGAAGATATTTGCTTTCCCACCATAGGCTGCAATGGTCACCAAATATCCACTTGCAGATTTTACAAAAATAGTGTTTCAAAACTGCCCAATCTAAAGAAAGGTTCGACTCTGTAAGTTCAATGTACACATCACAAAGAAGTTTCTCAGAATGCTTCTGTCTACCTTTTATCCAAAGTTATTTCCTTTTCCACTATACTCAGAAAAGCCCTCCGAATATCCACTTGCAGATTCTACAAAAGAAGTGTTTCAAAACTGCACAATCAAAAGAAAGTTTCAACTCTGTGAGTTGTATGCACACATCAGAAAGAAGTTTCTCAAAATGCTTTTGTGTAGTTTTTATGTGAAGATATTTCCTTTTCCACCGTAGGCCCTAAAGCTCTCCAAATATCCACTTGCAGATTCTACAAAAAGAGGGAATCAAAAATGCTCAATCAAAAGAAAGGTTCAACTGTGTGAGCTGAAGTCACACATAACAAAGCCGTTTCTCCGAATGCTTCTCCGTAGTTTTTATGTGAAGATATTTCCATTTCCACCATTCTCTCCAAAGCGCTCCAAATATCCACTTGCATGTTCTATAAAAAGAGTGTTTCAAAACTGCTCAATGAAAAGAAAGTTTCAACTCTGTGAAATGAATGGACACATCACAAAGACGTTTCTCAGAATGCTTCTGTCTAGTGTTTATGTGAAGATATTTCCTTTTCCACCACATGCCTCAAAGCGATCTAAATATGCACTTGCAGATTCTACGAAGAGTGCTTCAAAACTGCTGAATCAAAAGAATGGTTCAAATCTGTGAGATGAACGAACACATCACAAAGAAGTTGCTCAAAATGCTTCTGTCTAGTTTTTATGAGAAGATAATCCTTTTCCACCATTGGCCCCAATGGGCTCCAAATATCAACTGCATATCCTACAAACAGTGTTTAAAAAATGCTAAATCAATAGAAAGTTTCAACTCCATGAGATGTATGCACACATAACAAAGAAGTTTCTCAGAATGCTTCTCTCTAGTTTTTATGTGAGGATATTTCCTTCTCCACCATAGGACTCAATGCACTCCAAATATCCACTGGCAGATTCTAGAAGAAGAGCGTTTCAAAACTGCTCAATCAAAAGAAATTTTCAAATTTGTGAGATGAATGCACACATCACAAAGAAGTTTCTCAGAGTAATTCTGTCTAGTTTTTATGTGAAGATTTTTCATTTACCACCATACTCATCAAAGCGGTCCAAATATCCACTTGCACATTCTACAAAGAGAGTGTTTCAAAACTGCTCAATCAAAAGAATGGTTCAACTATGTGAGATGAATGCAAACATCACAAAGAGGTATTTCAGAATGCTTGTGTGTCGTTTTTATGTGAAGATGTTTCCTTTACCACCATAGGACTCAAAGAGCTCCAAATATCCACTTACAGATACTCCAAAAAGAGTATTTCAAAAGTGCTCAATCAAAAGAAAGGTTGAACTCCTTGAGATGAATGCACACATCACAAAGAAGTTTTTCAGAATGGTTCTGTCTAGTTTTTATGTGAATATGCATCCTTTTCCACTATAGGCCACAAAGTGCTCCAAATATCCACTTGCAGATTCTACAAAAAGAGTGTTTCAAAACGGCTCAATCAAATTAAAGGTTCATCTCCTTGAGATGAATGCACAAATCACAAAGAAGTTTCTCAGAAAGCTTCTGTGCAGTTTTTATGTGAAGGTATTTCCTTTTACACCATAGGCCACAAAGGGCTCCAAATATTCACTAGCAGATTCCACATAAAGAGAGTTTCAAAACTCGTCTATCAAAAGATAGGTACAACTCTGAGTTCAACACACATCTCAAAGAAGTTTCTCAGAATGCTTCTGTTTAGTTTTTATGTGAAGATATTTCCATTTCTACAATAGGCCTCAAAGCGCTCCAAGTATCTGCTTGTAGATTTTACTAAAAGAGTGTTTCCAAACTGCTCAATCAAAAGAAAGTTACAAATCTGTGAGGTGAATGAACAAATCACAAAGAAGTTTCTCAGAATGCTTCCGTGTAGCTTTTATTTGAAGACATTTCCTTTTCCACAATAGGTCTCTAAGCACTAAAAATATCCACTTGCAGATTCTACAAATAGTGGGTTTCAAAACTGCTCAATCAAAAGAAATGTTCACCACAGTGTGTTGAACGAACATGTCGCAAAGAAGTTTCTCAGAATGCTTCTGTGTAGCTTTATGTGAAGATATTTCCTTTTCCACCATAGGCCTCAACGTACTCCAAATATCTACTTGCAGATTCTACAAAAAGTGTGTTTCAAAATTGCTCAATCAAAAGAAAGTTGATCTCTGTGAGATGAATGCACACATTGCAAAGAAGTTTCTCAGAATGCATCTGTGTTGTTTTTATGTAAAGATATTTTCTTTTCCACAGTAGGCCTCTAGGGGCTCCAAATATCCACTTGCAGATTCTACAAAAAGACTGTTTCAAAACTGCTTGGTGAAAAGATAAGTTCAACTCTCTCAGATGAATGAACACATGAAAATGAAGTTTCTCAGAATGCTTTTGTGTAGTTTTTATGTGAAGATATTTCCTTTTCCACCAGAGGCCACAAAGGACTCCAAATATCCACTTGCAGATTCTACAAAAAGAGAGTTTGAAAACTGTGCAATCAAAAGATAGATTCAAATCTGTGATTTGAATGCACACATCAGAAAGAAGTTTCTCAGAATGCTTCTGTGTAGCTGTTATGTGAAGATATATCCTTTTCCACCATAGACCTCAATGCGCTCCAAATGTCCAGTTAGAGATACTACAAAAACAGTTTTTGAAAACTGCTCAATAAAACGAAAAGTTCAACTCTGCGAGATGCACGCACACATCGCAAAGAAGTTTGTCAGAATGTTTCTGTGTTGTTTTCATGTGAATATATTTCCTTTTCATGATAGGCTTCAAAGCACTCCAAATATCCAGTTGCAGATCCTATAAAAAAGAGTGTTTCAAAACTGCCCAATCAAAAGAAATGTTCAACTCTGTGAGATGAATGCACACATCACAAAGAAGTTTCTCAGAATGCTTCCGTGTAGTTTTTATGTAAAGATATTTCCTTTTCCAACACAGGACTCAAAAGGCTCCAAATATCCACTTGCAGGTTCTACAAAAATAGTGTTTCTAAACAGATCAATCAAAAGAAATGTTAAACTCTGTGAGATGAATGCACACATCACCAATACGTTTTTCATAATGATTCTGTGTAGTTTTTATGTGAAGATATTTCTTTTTCCACCACAGGCAGCAAGGGGCTCTAAATATCCACTTGTAGATTCTACAAAAAGAGATTTTCAAAGCTCCTCAATAAAAAGATAAGTTCAACTCTGTGAGTTGAATGCACACATCAAAAAGAAGTTTCTTTGAATGCTTCTGTGTAGTTTTTATGTGAAGATATTTCCTTTTACACAATAGGCCTCAAAGCGCTCCAAATACCCACCTGCAGATTCCAAAAAAAGAGAGTTTCAAAACTGCTTATCGAAAGATAGGTTCAACTCCGTGAGTTGAATGCACACATCACAAATACGTTTCTCAGAATTCTTCTGGGTATTTTTTATGGGAAGATATTTCCTTTTCCTCAATATGCCTCATAGCACTGCAAATATCCGCTTGCAGATTGCACTAAAAGTGTATTTCCAAACTGCACAATCAAAAGAAAGGTGAAATGAATGCACACATTGCAAAAAGTATGTCAGACACTTTCTTTGTAGTTTTTATGTGAAGATATTTTCTTTTCCACAATAGGTCTCAAAGCTCTCCAAAGATCCACTTGCAGATTCTACAAAAGAGTGTTTCAAAACTGCTCAATCAAAAGAAAGGTTCAACTCTGTCAGATGAATGCACACATCACAAGATAGTTTGTCAGATTGCTTCTGTGTAGTTTTTATGTGAAGATATTTCCTTTTCCACCTTAGGCCGCAAAAGGCTCCACATATCCACTTGCAGTTTCTACAAAAAGAATATTTCCAAACTGATCAATCAAAAGAAAGTTTCAACTCTGTGACTTCAATGCACACATCACAAAGAAGTTTGACAGAATTCTACTGTGTAGTTTCTATGTGAAGATATTTCCTTTGCCACAATAAGCCTCAAAGCACTGCAAATATCCACTTGCAGATTCTACAAAAAGAGTTTTTCAAAACTGCTCTATCAAAGCAAAGGTTCAACTCTGTTAGATGAATGTACACATCACAAAGAAGTTCCTCAGAATGCTTCTGTATAGTTTTTGTGTTAAGATGTTTCCTTTTCCACCGTAGGCTGCAAAGGGCTCCAAATATCCACTTGCAGATTCTACGAAAATAGTGATTCAAATCTGCTCAATCAAAAGACAGGGTCAACACTGTGAGATGAATGCACACGTCACAAAGAAGTTTTTTCAGAATGCTTCTGTGTAGTTTTTATGTGAAGATATTTCCTTTTATACCGCAAGCCAAAACGGGCTCCAAATATACACTTGCAGATTCTACAAAGGAAAGTTTCAAAACTGCTCAATCCAAAGATAAGTTCAACTCTGTGAGTTGAACGCACACATCACAAAGAGTTTCTCAGAATGCTTCTGTGTACTTTTTATGTGAAGATATTTCCTTTTACACCATAGACCTCAAATCACTCCAAATATCCACTTGCAGATTCTACAAAGCCAGTGTTTCAAATCTGCTCAATCAAAATAAAGTTTCAACTCTGTGAGATAAATATACACAGCACAAAGAAGTTTATCAGAATGATTCTGTGTAGTTTTTATTTAAAGTTATTTCCTTTTCCTCAATAGGCCTCAAAGTGCTCCAAATATCCACTTGCATATACTACCAAATGAAAGTTTGAAAACTCCTCTGTCAAAAGAATGGTTCAGCTACGTGAGTTGAATGCCCATATCACAAAGAAGTTTCTCAGAATGCTTCTGTGTGGTTTTTAAATGAACACATTTCCTTTTCCACCAAAGGCCTCAAAGCGGTCCGAATATCCACTTGCAGATTCTACAAAAAGAGTGTTTCCTAACTGCTCAATAAAAATAAACGTTCAACTCTGTTAGATGAATGCTAACATCACAAAGAATTTTCTCAGAATGCTTCTATGTATTTTTTTGAAGATATTTCCTTTTCCACCATAGGTCACAGAGGTCTCCAAATATACACTTGCAGATCCTACAAAAGGACAGATTCAAAAGTGCTCAGTGAAAAGATAGGCTCAACTCTGTGAGATGAATGCACACATCACAATATAGTTTCTCAGAATGCTTCTGTGTAGTTTTTATGTGAAGATATTTCCTTTGCCACAATAGGCCTCAAAGTGCTCCGAATATCCAACTGCAGATTCTACAAAAAGAGTGTTTCAAAACTGCTGAATCAACAGAAAGTTTCAAATCTGTGAGATGAATGCACACATCACAAAGAAGTTTCACAGAACCCTTCTCTGTAGATTTTATGTGAAGATATTTCCTTTCTCCACCATAGGCTGCAAAGGGCTCCAAATATACACTTGTTGATCCTACAAAAAGAGTGGTTCAAAAGTGCTCAATAAAAAGAAATGTTCAACTCTGTGAGATGAATGCACACATTGCAAAGAAGTTTCTCAGAAGGCTTCTGTGTAGTTTTTTTGTGAAGATATTTCCTTTTCCAAAATAGGACTCAAAGCCCTCGAAGTATCCACTTGCAGAATCTACAAAAAGACTCTTTCAACACTGATCAATCAAAAGAAAGCTTCAACTCTGTGAGATGAAGGCACACATCACAAATAACATTCTCAGAATGCTTCTGGGTAGTGTTTACATGAAGATATTTGCTTTTCCATAATAAGCCCCAAAGCCATCCAAGTATCCACTTTCTGATTCTCCTGAAGGGTTTTTCCAAACTGCTCAACAAAAGAAAAGTTCAACACTGTGAGATGAAAACACACATCACAAAGAAATTTCTCAGAATTCTTCTATGTAGTTTTTATGTGAAGATATTTCCTTTTCCACCATAGGCCACAACGGGCTCCAAATATCCACTTGCAGATTCCACAAAAAGTGAGATTCAAAACTGTTCAATCAAAAGATAGTTTATACCCTGTGAGTTGAATGCACACATCACAAAGAAGTTTCTCTGAATGCTTTTGCTTAGTTTTTATGTGAAGATATTCCCTTTCCACTACAGGCCTCAAAGCACACCAAATATCCACTTGAAGATTCTACAAAAAGAGGGGTTCCAAGCTGCTCATTCAAAAGAAAGGTTAAACTCTGTGAGATGAATGCACACATCACAAAGAATTTTCTCAGAATGCATCTGTGTAGTTTCTATCTGAAAATATTTCCTTTTCCAATATAGGCTGCAAAGGGCTCCAAATATCCAGTTGCAGATTCTACAAAAACAGTGTTTCAAAACTGCACAATCAAAAGAAAGGTTCATCTCTATGAGATGAATACACACATGCCAAAGAAGTTGCTCAGAGTGCTTCTGTGTAGTTTTTGTGTGAAGATATTTCCTTTTCCACAGCAGGCTTGAAATCCCTCCAAGTATCCACTTGCAGATTCTACAAAGAGAGTGTTTCAAAACTGCTCAATAATAAGATAGGTTCAAATCTATAAGATGAATGCACACATCACAAAGAAGTTTCTCAGAATGCTTCTCTGTAGTATTTATTTCAGGATATTTCCTTTTCCTCCATAGACTGCAAAGGGCTTCAAAAATCCACTTGCAGATTCTACAAAAAGCGAAATTCAAAACTGCTCAATCAAAAGATAGGTTCAACTCTGTGAGTTGAATGTACACATCACAAAGAAGTTTCTCAGAATGCTTCTCTGTAGTTTTTATTTAAAGATATTTCCTTTTTCTCAATTGGCTGCAAAGGGCTCCAAATATCCACTCGCAGATTCTACAAAAGGAGACATTCAAAACTGCTCAAGCAAAAGATAAGTTCAATTCTGTGAGTTGAATGCACACATCACAAAGAAGTTTCTCAGAATGCTTTTGTGTAGTTTTTATTTGAAGATGTTTCCTTTGCCTCCATGCACGGCAAAGGGCTCCAAGTATCTACTTGCAGATCCTAGAAAAAGAGAGTTCCAAAACTGCTCAATCAAAAGATAGGTTCAAGAATGTGAGTTGTATGCACACGTCACAAAGAAGTTTCTCAGAATGCTTCTGTGTAGTTTTTATGGGAGGATATTTCCTCTTACAAAATAGGCCTCAAAGCCCAACAAATATCCACTTGCAGATTCTACAAAAACAGTATTTCAAAACTGCTCAATCAAAAGACAGATTAGACTCTGTGAGTTGAATGCACACATCACAAAGAACTTTCTCAGAAGGCTTTTGTGTAGTTTTTATGTGAACATATTTCCTTTTCCACAATATGCCTCAAATCGTTCCACGGATCCACTTGCAGATTCTTCTAAGAGAATGTTTGAAAACTGCTAAACCATAACATAGGTTCAACTCTGTGAGATGAATGCACACATCACAGTGACGTTTCTCAGAATGATTCTGTGTAGTTTCTATGTGAAGATATTTCCTTGACCACCATAAGAAAAAAAGGGCTCCAAATATCCACTTGCAGATTCTACAGAAACAGTGTTTCTAAGCTGCTCAATCAAAAGAAAGTTTCAACTCTGGGAGATGAATGCCCACATCACCATGAAGTTTCTCAGAATGGTTCTGTGTGTTTTTTATGTGAAGATATTTCCTTTTACACCATATGCCTCAAAGTGCTCCAAATATCCTCTTGCAGATTCTACAAAAAGAGTGTTTTCAAACTGCTCAATAATAAGATAGGTTCAACTCTGTGATATTAAGGAACACATCACATAGAAGTTTCTCAGAATGCTTCTGTGTAGTTTTTATTTGAAGATATTTCCTTTTCCACCGTAGGCTGCAAAGGGCTCCAAATATCCACTTGCAGATAATAAAAAAAGTGAGATTCAAAACTGCTCAATCAAAATATAAGTTTAACTCTGTGAGTTGAATGTACACATCACAAAGAAGTTTCTCAGAATGCTTCTGTGTAGTTGTTATGTGAAGATACTTTCTATTCCAAAATAGGCCTAAAATCCCTCCAAATATCCACTTGCAGATTCTACAAAAAGAGAGTTTCCAAACTGCTAAATCAAAAGAAAAGTTCAAAACTGTGTGATGAATGCACTCATCACAAAGAAGTTTCTTAGAATACTTCTCCATACTATTCATGTGAAGATATTTCCTCTTCCACAATAGGACTCAAAGCACTCCAAATATCCACTTGCACATTCTACAAAAAGTGTGTTTCAACACTGTTCAATCATAAGATATGTTCAACTATGTGAGTTGAATGCACACATGACAAAGTAGTTTCTCAGAATGCTTCTGTGCATTTTTTATTTGAAGATATTTCCCTTTCCAAAATAGACCTCAAAGCCCTCCAAATATCGACTTTCAGATCCTACAAAAAGAGTGTTTTAAAACTGCTCAGTCAAAAGAAATGTTCAACTCTGTGTGATGAATGCATTCATCACACATTAGTTTGTCAGAATGCTTCAGTGTAGTTTTTATGTGAAATTATTTCCTTTTCTACAATAGGCCTCAAAGCACTCCAAATATCCACTTTCTGATCCACAAAAACAGTGTTTCAAAACTGCTATATCAAAAGAAATTTCAACTCTGTGAGATGAATGCACACATCACAAATAATTTTCTCAGAATGCCTCTGTGTAGTTTTTATGTGAAGATATTTGCTTTTCCACAGTAGGCCTCAAAGCGCTCCAAGTATCCACTTGCAGATTCTACAAAAACAGTGTTTCAAAAACTGCTCAATCAAAAGAAATGTTCAACTCTGTGAGATGAATGTACACAGCACAAAGTAGTTTCTCAGAATCCCTCTGTGTAGTTTTTATGTGAAGATATTTCCTTTTCCACAATAGGACCCAGAGCACTCCAAGTATCCACTTTCAGATTCTACAAAGAGAGTGTTTCAAAACTGCTCAATCATAAGATAGTTTCAAGTCTGTGGGATGAATGCATACACCACAAATAAGTTTCTCAGAATGGTTCTGTGTAGTATTTATTTGAAGATATTTCCTTTTCTGCCATATGCTGCAAAGGGCTACAAATATCCTCTTGCAGATACTACAAAAAGAGAGATTCAAAGCTGCTCTTTGAAAAGATAGGTTCAACTCTGTGAGATGAATGCTCTCATGACAAAGAAGTTTCTCAGAATGATTCTGTGTAGTTTTTATGTGAAGATATTTCCTTTTGCACCATAGGCCACAAATGGCTCCAAATATCCACTTGCAGGTGCTACAAAATAGAGTTTCAAAACTTCTTAATCAAAAGATAGGTTCAACTCTGGGAGGTGAATCCACATGTCACAAAGAAGTTTCTCAGAATGCCTCTGTGTATTTTTCATGTGACGACATTTCCTTTACCACCATAGGACTCAAAACCCTCCAAATATCCACCTGCAGATTCTACTAAAAGAGTGTTTCCAAACTGAACAATCAAAAGATAAGTTCAACTCTGTGAGATGAATGCAAACATCACAAAGTAGTTTCTCAGGATCCTTCTGTGTAGTTTTTATGTGAGGATATTTCCTTTTACACCATAAGCCACAAAGGGCTCCAAATATCCACTTGCAGATTCGACAAAAAGAGAGTTTCAAAACTGCTGTATCAAAAGATAGGTTCAACTCCGTGAGTTGAATACACACATAACAAAGAAGTTTCTCAGAATGCTTCTGTGAAGTTTTTATGTGAAGATATTTCCTTTTCCACAATAGGCCACATAGTGCTCCAAATATCCACTTGCAGATTCTACAAAAAGGGTTTCCAAGCTGCACAATCAAAATAAATATTCAACTCCGTGAGATGAATGCACACATCACAAAGAAATTTCTCAGAATGTTTCTGTGTAGTTTTTATGTGAGGATATTCCCTTTCCCACAATAGGCCTCAAAGCACTCCAAATATCCCCTTGCAGATTCTACAAAAGAGAGTTTCAAAACTGGTCAATCAAAAGTTAGGTTTAGCTCTGTGAGTTGAATGCACGCATCACAAAGAAGTTTCGCAGAATGCTTTTGTGTAGTTTTTATGTAAAGATATTTCTGTTTCAGCCATAGGCCTCAAATCTCTCCAAATATTCACTTGCAGATTCTATAAAAAGAGTATTTCCGTACTGCCCAAACAAAAGAAATGTTGAAGTCTTTCAGATGAATTCGCAGATCACAAAGAAGTTTCTCAGAATGATTCTGAGTAGTTTTTATGTGAAGATATTAACTTTTTCACAATAGGCCTCAAAGCCCTCCAAATATCCACTTGAACATTCTACAAAAAGTGTATTTCATAACTGCTCAATCAAAAGAAAGGTTCTACTCTGTGAGATGAATGTACACATCACAAAGAAGTTTCTCAGAATGCTTCTGTGTAGTTTTTATCTGAAGATATTTCCTTTTCCAACATAGGCCACAAAGGGCTCAAAATATCCAATTGCAGATTGCACAAATATGCAGTTTCAAAGCTGCTCAATCCACAGATATGTTCAACTCTGTGAGTTGAATGCACACATCACAGAGAAGTTTCTCAGAATCCTTCTTTGTAGTTTTTCCACCGTAGGCCTCAAAGCACTCCAAATATCCACTTTCACATTCCACAAAAAGAGCGTTTCAAACTGCTCAATCAAAAGTAAGGTTCAACTCTGTGAGATGAATGTACACATCACAAAGCAGTTTTTCAGAATGATTCTGTGTAGTGTTTATCTGAAGATATTTCCTTTTCCACCATAAGCCTCAAAGGGCTCCAAATATCCACTTGCAGATTCTACAAAAAGAGTGTTTCCAAACTGCTTAAACAAAAGAAAGTTTCAACTCTGTCACATGAATGCACTCATTGCAAAGAAACTTCTCAGAATGCTTCTGTGTAGTTTTTATGTGAAGATATTTCCTTTTCCACAATAGTCCCCAAAGCATTCCAAATATCCACTTGCAGATTCTACAAAAAAAGTTTCCAAACTGCTCAATCAAAAGAAAGGTTCAAGTCTGTGAGATGAATGCACCCTTCACAAAGAAGTTTCTCAGAATGCTTCTGAGTAGTTTTTTTTGTGAAGAGATTTCCTTTTACACCATAGGCCATAAAGGGCTCCATATATCCACTTGCAGATTCTACAAAAAGAGAGTTTCAAAATTGCTCTCTCAAAAGACAGGTTCAACTCTGTGAGTTGAATACACACATAACAAAGAAGTTTCTCAGAATACTTCCGTGAAGTTTTTATGTGAAGATATTTCCTTTTCCACAATAAGCCACATAGCGCTCCAAATATCCACTTGCAGATTCTACAAAAACAGTGTTTCAAGCTGCACAATCAAAATAAATGTTCAACTCTGTGAGATGAATACACACATAACCAAGAAATTTCTCAGAACGCTTCTGTGTAATTTTTATGTGAAGATATTTCCTTTTGCACCATAGGCCACAAAGGGCTCCATATATCCACTTCCAGATTCTACAAAAAGATATTTTCAAAACCGTTCAATCAAAAGATATGTTCAACTCTGAGAGTTGAGTGCACACATCACAAAGAAGTTTCTCAGAGTACTGCTGTGTAGTTTTTTTTAATTTATTTTATTTTATTATTATTATACTTTAAGTTTTAGGGTACATGTGCACATTGTGCAGGTTTGTTACATATGTGTACATGTGCCACGTTGGTGTGCTGAGCTCATTAACTCGTCATTTAGCATTAGGTATATCTCCTAATGCTATTCCTCCCCAATCCCCCTTCCCCACATCAGTCCCCAGAGTGTGATGTTCCCCTTCCTGTGTCCATGTGTTCTCATTGCTCAAATCCCGCTTATGAGTGAGAATATGCAGTGTTTGGTTTTTTGTCCTTGCGATAGTTTACTGAGAATGATGATTTCCAATTTCATCCATGTCCCTACAAAGGACATGAACTCATCATTTTTTATGGCTGCGTAGTATTCCATGGTGTATACGTGTCACATTTTCTTAATCCAGTCTATCATTGTTGGACATTTGGGTTGATTCCAAGTCTTTGCTATTGTGAATAATGCGGCAATAAACATACGTGTGCATGTGTCTTTATAGCAGCATGATTTATAGTCCTTTGAGTATATACCCAGTAATGGGATGGCTCGGTCAAATTGTATTTCTAGCTCTACATCCCTGAGGAATTGCCACACTGACTTCCACAATGGTTGAACTAGTTTACAGCCCCATCAAAAGTGTAAAAGTGTCCCTATTTCTCCACATCCTCTCCAACACCTGTTGTTTCCTGATTTTTTTAATTATTGCCATTCTAACTGGTGTGTGATGGTATCTCATTGTAGTTTTGATTTGCATTCCTCTGATGGCCAGTGATGGTGAGCATTTTTTCATGTGTTTTTTGGCTGCATAAATGTCTTCTTTTGAGAAGTGTCTGTTCATGTCCTTTGCCCACTTTTTGATGGGGTTTATTGTTTTTTTCTTGTAAATTTCTTTGAGTTCATTGTAGATTCTGGATATTAGCCCTTTGTCAGATGAGTCAGTGGTGAAAACTTTCTCCCATTTTGAACATTGCCTGTTCACTCTAATGGTAGTTTCTTTTGCTGTGCAGAAGCTCCTTAGTTTAATTAGATCTCATTTATCAATTGTGGCTTTTGTTGCCGTTGCTTTTGGTGTTTTAGACATGAAGTCCTTGCCCATGCCTATGTCCTGAATGGTAATGCCTAGGTTTTCTTCTAGGATTTTTATGGTTTTAGGTCTAATGTTTAACTTTTTAATCCATCTTGAATTAATTTTTGTATAAGGTGTAAGGAAGGGATCCAGTTTCAGCTTTCTACATATGGCTAGCCAGTTTTCCCAGCACCATTTATTAAATAGGGAATCTTTTCCCCATTGCTTGTTTTGTTCAGGTTTATCAAAGATCAGATAGTTGTAGATATGCAGCGTTATTTCTGAGGGCTCTGTTCTGTTCCATTGATCTATATCTCTGTCTTCTTACCAGTACCATGCTGTCTTGGTTACTGTAGCCTTGTAGTATAGTTCGAAGTCAGGTAGTGTAATGCCTTCAGCTTTGTTCTTGTGACTTAGGATTGACTTGGTGATGTGGGATCTTTTTTGGTTCCATATGAACTTTAAAGTAGTTTTTTCCAATTCTGTGAAGAAAGTCATTGGTAGCTTGATGGGGATGACATTGAATATACAAATTACCTTGGGCAGTATGGCCATTTTCATGATATTGATTCTTCCTACCCATGAGCATGGAATGTTCTTCCATTTGTTTGTATCCTCTTTTATTTCATTGAGCAGTGGTTTGTAGTTCTCCTTGAAGAGGTCCTTCACATCCCTTGTAAGTTGGATTCCTAGGTATTTTATTCTATTTGAAGTAATTGCGAATGGGAGTTCACTCATGATTTGGCTCTCTGTTTGTCTGTTTTTTGTGTATAAGAATTCTTGTGATTTTTGTACATTGATTTTGTATCCTGAGACTTTGCTGAAGTTGCTTATCAGTTTAAGGAGATTTTGGGCTGAGACAATGGGGTTTTCTAGATATACAATCATGTCATCTGCAAACAGGGAAAATTTGACTTCCCCTTTTCCTAATTGAATACAATTTATTTCCTTCTCCTGCCTAATTGCCCTGGCCAGAACTTCCAACACTATGTTGAATAGGAGTGGTGAGAGAGGGCATCCCTGTCCTGTGCCAGTTTTCAAAGGGAATGCTTCCAGTTTTTGCCCATTCAGTATGATACTGGCTGTGGGTTTGTCATAGATAGTTCTTATTATTTTGAGATACATCCCATCAATACCTAATTTATTGAGAGTTTTTAGCATGAAGCATTGTTGAATTTTGTCAAAGGACTTTTCTGCATCTATTGAGATAATCATGTGGTTTTTGTCTTTGGTTCTGTTTATATGCTGGATTACATTTATTGATTTGCATAAATTGAACCAGCCTTGCATCCCAGGGATGAAGCCCACTTGATCATGGTGGATAAGCTTTTTGATGTGCTGCTGGATTCGGTTTGCCAGTATTTTATTGAGGATTTTTGCATCGATGTTCATCAAGGATATTGGTCTAAAATTCTCTTTTTTGGTTGTGTCTCTGTCCGGCTTTGGTATCAGGACGATGCTGGCCTCATAAAATGAGTTAGGGAGGATTCTCTCTTTTTCTATTGATTGGAATAATTTCAGAAGCAATGGTACCAGCTCCTCCTTGTACCTCTGGTAGAATTCGGCTGTGAATCCATCTAGACCTGGACTCTTTTTTGTTGGTAAGCTATTGATTATTGCCACAATTTCAGCTCCTGTTATTGGTCTATTCAGAGAGTCAACTTCTTCCTGGTTTAGTCTTCAGAGGGTGTATGTGTTAAGGAATTTATCCATTTCTTCTAGATTTTGTAGTTTATTTGTGTAGAGGTGTATGTAGTATTCTCTGATGGTAGTTCATATTTCTGTGGGAATGATGGTGATACCTGCTGTATCATTTTTTATTGCGTCTATTTGATTCTTCTCTCTTTTCTTCTTTATTAGTCTTGCTAGCAGTCTATCAATTTTGTTGATCCTTTCAAAAAACCAGCTCCTGGATTCGTTAATTTTTTGAAGGGTTTTTGTGTCTCTATTTCCTTCAGTTCTGCTCTGATTTTACTTATTTCTTGCCTTCTGCTAGCTTTTGAATATGTTTGCTCTTGCTTTTCTGGTTCTTTTAATTGTGAGGTTAGGGTGTAAATTTTGGATCTTTCCTGCTTTCTCTTGTGGGCATTTAATGCTATAAATTTCCTTCTACCAACTGCTTTGAATGTGTCCCAGAGATTCTGGTATGTTGTGTCTATGTTCTCATTCGTTTCAAAGAACATCTTTATTTCTGCCTTCATTTTGTTATGTACCCAGTAGTCACTCAGGAGCAGGTTGTTCAGTTTCCATGTAGTTGAGCGGTTTTGAGTGAGTTTCTTAATCCTGAGTTCTAGTTTGATTGCACTGTGGTCTGAGAGATAGTTTGTTATAATTTCTGTTCTTTTACATTTACTGAGGAGAGCTTTACTTCCAAGTATGTGGTCAATTTTGGAATAGGTGTTGTGTGGTGCTGAAAAAAATGTATATTCTGTCGATTTGAGGTGGAGAGTTCTGTAGATGTCTATTAGGTCTGCTTGGTGCAGAGCTGAGTTCAATTCCTGGGTATCTTTGTTAACTTTCTGTCTCATTGATCTGTCTAATATTGACAGTTGGTTGTTAAAGTCTCCCATTATTGTGGTGTGGGAGTCTAAGTCTCTTTGTAGGTCACTCAGGACTTGCTTTAAGAATCTGGGTGCTCCTGTATTGGATGCATGTATATTTAGGATAGTTAGCTCTTCTTGTTGAATTGATCCCTTTACCACTATGTAATGGCCTTCTTTGTCTCTTTTGATCTTTGTTTGTTTAAAGTCTGTTTTATCAGAGACTAGGATTGCAACCCCTGTCTTTTTTTGTTTTCCGTTTGCTTGATAGATCTTCCTCCACCTTTTATTTTGAGCCTATGTATGTCTCTGCACATGAGATGTGTTTCTGAATACAGCACACTGATGGGTCTTGACTCTTTATCCAAATTGCCAGTCTGTGTCTTTTAACTGGAGGATTTAGTCCATTTACATTTAGAGTTAATATTGTTATGTGTGAATTTGAGCTGTCTTTATGATGTTAGCTGGTTATTTTGCTCCTTGGTTGATGTAGTTTCTTAGTAGCCACAATGGTCTTTACAATTTGGCATGATTCTGCAGTGGCTTGTACTGGTTGTTTCTTTCCATGTTTAGTGCTTCCTTCAGGAGCTCTTTTAGGGCGGGCCTGGTGGTGACAAAATCTCTCAGCATTTGCTTGTCTGTAAAGTATTTTATTTCTCCTTCACTTATGAAGCTTAGTTTGGATGGATATGAAATTCTGGGTTGAAAATTCTTTTCTTTAAGAATGTTGAATATTGGCCTCCACTCTCTTCTGGCTTGTAGAGTTTCTGCCGAGAGATCTGCTGTTAGTCTGATGGGCTTCCCTTTGAGGGTAACCCAACCTTTCTCTCTGGCTGCCCTTAACATTTTTTCCTTCATTTCAATTTTGGTGGATCTGACAATTATGTGTCTTGGAGTTGCTCTTCTCGAGGAGTATCTTTGTGGTGTTCTCTGTATTTTCTGAATCTGAATGTTGGCCTGCCTTGCTAGATTGAGGAAGTTCTCCTGGATAATATCCTGCAGAGTGTTTTCCAACTTGGTTCCATTCTCCACATCACTTTCTGGTACACCAATCAGATATAGATATGGTCTTTTCACATAGTCCCATATTTCTTGGAGGCTTTATTCATTTCTTTCTATTCTTTTTTCTCTAAACTTCCCTTCTCGCTTCATTTCATTCATTTCATCTTCCATCACTGATAACCTTTCTTCCAGTTGATCGCATCAGCTCCTGAGGCTTCTGCATTCTTCACGTAGTTCTGGAGCCTTGGCTTTCAGCTCCATCAGTTCCTTTAAGGACTTCTCTGTATTGGTTATTCTAGTTATACATTCATCTAAATTTTTTTCAAAGTTTTTAACTTCTTTGCCTTCGGCTTGAATTTCCTCCTGTAGCTCAGAGTAGATTGATCGTCTGAAGCCTTCTTCTCTCAACTCGTCAAAGTCATTCTCCGTCCAGCTTTGTTCCATTGCTGGTGAGGAACTGAATTCCTTTGGAGGAGGAGAGGCACTCTGCTTTTTAGAGTTTACAGTTTTTCTGTTCTGTTTTTTCCCCATCTTTATGGTTTTATCTACTTTTAGTCTTTGATGATGGTGATGTACAGATGGGGTTTTGTTGTGGATGTCCTTTCTGTTTTTTAGTTTTCCTTCTAACAGACAGGACCCTCAGTTGCAGGTCTGTTGGAGTTTGCTAGAGGTCCACTCCAGATCCTGTTTGCCTGGGTATCAGCAGCAATGACTGCAGAACAGCGGATTTTTGTGAACCACGAATGCTGCTGTCTGATCTTTGCTCTGGAAATTTTGTCTCAGAGGACTATACGGCCGTGTGAGATGTCAGTCTGACCCTACTGGGGGTTGTCTCCCAGTTAGGCTGCTCGGGGTTCAGGGGTCAGGTACCCATTTGAGGAGGCAGTCTGCCTGTTCTCAGATCTCCAGCTGTGTGCTGGGAGAACCACTGCTGTCTTCAAATCTGTCAGACAAGGACATTTAAGTCTGCAGAGGTTACTGCTGTCTTTTTGTTTGTCTGTGCCCTGCCCCAAGAGGTGGAGCCTACAGAGGAAGGCAAGCCTCCTAGAGCTGTGGTGGGCTACACCCAGTTCGGGCTTTCCAGCAGCTTTGTTTACCTAAGCAAGCCTGGGCAATGGGGGGCGCCCCACCCCCAGCCTCACTGCCACCTTGTAGTTTGATCACAGACTGCTGTGCTAGCAATCAGTGAGACACCGTGGACATAGGAACCTATGCGTCATGTGTGGGATATAATCTCTTGGTGCACCGTTTTTGAAGACCGTTGAAAAAGTGCAGTATCAGGGTGGGAGTGACCTGATTTTCCAAGTGCCATCTGTCGCCCCTTTATTTGACTAGGAAAGGGAACTCCCTGACCACGTGCACTTCCCAAGTGAGGAAATGCATCACTCCGCTTTGGCCTATGTATGGTGCGCTGCACCCACTATACTGCACCCACTCTCTGACACTCCCTAGTGAGATGAACCAGGTATCTCAGATGGAAATGAAGAAATCACCCATCTTCTGTGTCACTCATGCTGGGAGCTGTAGAACAGAGCTGTTCCTACTTGGCCATCTTGAGTGCCACCTCATTTGCCAGTTGGCTTTTGTGTAGTTTTTATGTGAAAATATTTCCCTTTCCACCATTGGCCACAAAGGGCTCCAAATATCCACTTGCAGATTCTACAAAAAGAGAGTTTCAAAACTGCTCAACCAAAAGAAAGTTTCAACTCTGTGAGTTGTATGCACACATCGCAGAGAAGATTCTCTGAATGCTTCCGCATAGTTTTTATGTGAAGATATACCCATTTCCACCATAGGCCACAAAGAGCTCCAAATATCCACTTGCAGATTCTACAAAACGAGTGCTTCAAAACTGCTCAATCAAAAGAAAGGTTCAACTCTGTGAGATGAATGCACACATTGCAAAGTAGTTTCTCAGAATTGTTCTGCATAGTTTTTATGTGAAGATATCTCCTTTTACACAATAGGCTTAAAAGTACTCCAAATATCCATTTGCTGATCCTTTAAAAAGACTGTTTCATAACTGCTTAATCAAAAGAAAGGTTCAACTCTGTGAGATGAATGCATACATCACAAAGAAGTTTCTCAGAATGCTTCTCTGTAGTTTTTATGTGAAAATATCTCCTTTTCCACCATAGGTAGCAAATAGTTCCAAATATCCACTTGCGGATTCTACAAAAAGAGAGTTTCAAAATTGCTGAATCAAAAGATACGTTCAAACCTGTGAGTTGAATGCACACATCACAAAGAAGTTTCTCAGAATGCTTCTGTGTAGTTTTTACGTGAAGATATTTCCTTTTCCACCATAGGCCACAAAGCGATCCAAACATCAACTTGTAGATACTTCAAAAAGGTTGTTTCCAAACTGCTCAATCAAAAGAAAGGTTCAACTCTGTGAGATGAAGTCACACATGACAAAGAAGTTCCTCAGAAATCTCTTTTGTAGTTTTTATGAGAAGGTATTTCCTTTTCCACCATAGGCCACAAAGGGCTCCAAATATCCTCTTGCAGATTCTACAAAAAGAGAGATTCAAAACTGCTCAATCAATATATAGTTTCAACTCTGTGAGTTTAATGCACACTAGACAATAGTGTTTCTCAGAATGCTTCTGTGTAGTTTTTATGTGAAGATATTTCCATTTCCACCATAGGCCTCAAAGCGCTCCAAATATCCACTTGCAGATTCTACAGAAATAAAGTTTCAAAACTGCTGAATGAAAATAAAGGTTCAACACTGTGAGATGAATGCAAACATAGCACAGAAGTTTCTCATAATTCTTCTGTCCAGTTTTTATGTGAAGCTATTTCCTTTTCCACAATAGGAATCTAAGCACTCCAAATATCAACTTGCAGATTCTACATAAAGAGTTTTTCAAAACTGCTCAATGAAAAGAAAGGTTCAACTCTGTGTGTTGAATGCACACATCAAAAGGAGGTTTCTCAGAATGCTTCTGTGTAGATTTCATGTGAAGATATTTTCTTTTCAACATTAGGCCTCAAAGCACTCCAATTATACACTTGCAGATTCTACAAAGAGTGTTTCAAAACTGCTAAATGAAAAGAAAGTGAGATGAATGCACAGAACACAAAGTGGTTTCCCAGAATGCTTCTGTATATGTTTTATGTGAAGATATTTCCTTTTAAAGAGGAGGCCTCAATGCACTCCAAATATCCACTTGCAGATTCTACAAAAAGAGTGTTTTGAAACTGCTCAATCATAAAATAGTTTCAACTCCATGAGTTGAATGCACACATCACAGAGAAGTTTCTCATAAAGCTTCTGTGTAGTTTTTATGTGAAGATATTTCCTTTTACAAAATAGGCCTCAAAGTGCTCCAAATATTCACTTGCAGGTACTTCAAAAAGATTGTTTCGAAACTGCTCAATCAAAAGAATGCACACATCACATAGAAGTTTATCAGAATATTTCTGTCTTTTTTTTATGTGAAGGCATTTCCTTTTCCACAATAGGCAACAAAAGGCTCCAAATATCCACTTGCAGATACTACAAAAAGAGAGTTTCAAAGAGGCTCAATCAAAAGATAGGTTCAATTCTGTGAGTTGAATGCATACATTGCAAAGGAGTTTCTCAGAATACTTCTGTCTTGTTTTTATGTGAAGGCATTTCCTTTTCCACCATAGGCCTCAAACGGCTCCAAATATACAACTGCAGATACTACAAAAAGAGAGTTTCAAAACTGCTCATCAAAAGATAGATTCACATCTGTGAGTTGAATGCACACATTACAAGGAAGTTTCTCAGAATGCTTCTGTGTGGTCTTTAAGTGAAGATATTTCCTTTTCCACAATAGGCCTCAAAGAGTTCCAAATATCCACTTGAAGATTATACAAAAACAGTGTTTCAAAACTGCTCAATCAAAAAGTTTCAATTCTGTGGGATGAATGCACGCATCACAAAGAAGTTTCTAATAATGCTTCTGTGTAGTTTTTATGTGAAGATATTTCGTCTTCCAAAATAGGCCTCAAAGCTGTCCAAATATCCACTTGCAGATTCTACAAAGACTGTGTTTCAAAACTGCTCAAACAAAAGAAAGGTTCAGCTGTGTGAGATAAATGCACACATCACGAAGAAGTCTCTCAGAATGCTTCTGTGTAGTTTTTATGTGAATATATTTGCTGTTCAACTGTTGGCCTCAAAGCACTCCAAATATCCACATGCATATTCTAAAATAGAGTGTTTCAAAACTACTCAATCAAAAGAAAGGTTCAACTCTGTGAGTTGAATGCACACATCACAAAGAAGTTTCTCAGAATGCTTCTGTGTACTTTTTATGTGACGATATTTCCTATTCCACTGTAGGCCTCAAAGTGCTCCAAATATCCTCTTGCAGATTCTACAAAAAGAGTGTTACAAAACTGCTCAATCAAAAGAAAGTTCAACTCTTTGAGATAAATGCACACATCACAAAGAAGTTTCTCAGAATGCTTCTGTGTAGTTTTTATGTGAAGATATTTGCTTTTCCAGAGTAGGCCTCAAAGCTCTCCTAATATGCACTTGCAGATTCTGCAAAAACTGTGTTTCATAACTGCTCAATCAAAAGAAAGTTTCAACTCTGTGAGATGAAAGCACACAACACAAAGACCCTTCTCAGAATGCTTCTGTGTAGTTTTTATGTAAAGATATTTCCTTTCAGACAATAAGCCTCAAAGCACTCCAAATAACCAATTGCAGATTCTACAAAAAGTGTGTTTCAAAACTGCTCAATCCAAAGAAGGGTTCAACTCTGTGAGATGAATGCATACATCACAAAGAAGTTTCTCAGCATGCTTCTGAGTAATTTTTATGTGAAGAAACCTCCTTTTCCGCAATAGGCCTCAAATTGTTGCAAATATCCTCTTGCAGATTCTACAAAAAGAGTGTTTCAAAACTGCTCAATAAAAAGAAAGTTTCAACTCTGTGAGATGAATGCACACATCACAAAGAAGTTTCTCAGAATGCTTCAGTGTGGTCTTTAAGTGAAAATATTTTCTTTTAAATAGGAGGCCTCAATGCGCTCCAAATATCCACTTGCAGATTCTACAAAAAGAGTGTTTCAAAACTGCTCAATCATAAAATAGGTTTCACCCTGTGCGGTGAATGCACACATCACAAAGAAGTTTCTCAGAATGCTTCCACGTAGTTTTTATGTAAAGATATTTCTTTTTCCACAATAGGCCTCCAAGAGCTCCAAATATCCACTTGCAGATGCTACAGAAAGAGTGTTTCAAAACTGCTCAATCAAAAGAAAGGTTCATCTCTGTAAGGTGAATGCACACATCACAATGTAGTTTCTGAGAATGTTTCTGTGTACCTTTTACATGAAGATATTTCCTTTTCCACAGTAGGCCTCAAACTGTTCCAAGTATCCACCTTCAGATTCTACAAAAAGAGAGATTTAAAACTGCTCAAACAAAACATAGGTTAAACTCTATGAGTTGAACTCACAATTCACAAAGAAGTTTATCAGAATGCTACTGTGTAGTCTTTATTTGAAGATATTTCCTTTTGCACAATATGCATCAAATTTCTCCAAATATCCAAAAGCAGATTCTACAAAAAGAGTGTTTCAAAACTGCTCAATCAAAAGAAAGGTTCAACTCTGTGTGATGAATGCACACATCACAAAGTAGTTTCTCAGAATGCTTCTGTGTATGTTTTATGTGAAGATATTTCCTTTTAAAGAGGAGGCCTCAATGCACGCCAAATATCCACTTTCAGATTGTACAAAAAGTGTGTTTCAAAACTGCTCAATCATAAAATAGTTTCAATCCTATGAGCTGAATGCACACATCACAAAAAAGTTTCTCAGAATGGTTCTGTGTAGTTTTTATATGAAGATATTTCCTTTTCCACAATAGGCCTCAAAGAGCTCCAAATATCCACTTGCAGATGCTACAAAAAGAGTGTTTCAAAACTGCTCAACCAAAAGAAAGATTCATCTCTGTAAGGTGAATGCACACATCACAATGTAGTTTCTGAGAACGCTTCTGTGTATCTTTTACGTGAAGATATTTCCTTTTCCACAATAGGCCTCAAACTGCTCCAAATATCCACTTGCACATTCTACAGAAAGAGTATTTCACAACTGCTCAATCATAAGATAGGTTCAACTCTGTGAGATGAATGCACTCATCATTAAGAAGTTTCTCAGAATGTCTCTGTGTGGTTTTTTTTGTGAAGATATTTGCTTTTCCACAGTAGGCCACAAAGTGCTCCAAATATCCACTAGCAGATTCTGCAAAAACAGTTTCAAACCGCTCAGTCAAAAGAAAGTTTCAACTATGTGAGTTGAATGCACGCATCAAAAGTAGTTTCTCAGAATGCTTCTGTGTACTTTTTATGTGAAGATATTTTCCTTTCCACAATAGGCCTCAAAGCCCTCCAAATACCTACTTGCAGATTCTAGAAAAAGAGTGTTTCATAAGTGCTCAATCAAAAGAAAGTTTCAACTCCATGAGATGAATGCACACATCACAAAGAAGTTTCTCAGAATGCTTCTGTGTAGTTTTTATGTGAAGATATATGCTTTTCTACAGTAGGTCTCAAATCTCTCCAAATATCCACTTGCATATATTACAAAAAGAGTGTTTCAAAACTGCTCAATCAAAAGAAAGTTTCAACTCTGTGAGATGAATGCACACATCCCAAAGAAATTTCTCAGAATGTTTCTGTGTAGTTATTGTGTGAAGATATTCCTTTTTCCACAATAGGCTTCAAAGCGCTCCATATATCCTTTAGCAGATTGCACAAAAAGGGTATTTGAAAAGTGCTCAATGATAAGATAGGTTCAACTGTGAGAAGAATGCACACATCACCAAGAAGTTTCTCAGAATGCTTCTGTGTAGTTTCTATTTAAAGATATTACCTTTTTCACCATAGGTGGAAAAGGGCTCCAAATATCCAGTTGAAGATTCTACAGAAAGAGAGATTCAAAACTTCTCAATCAAAATGTTGGCTCAACTCTGTGAGTTGAATGCACACATCACAAAGAAATTTCTCAGAATGCTTCTGTGTAGTCTTTATGTGAAGATATTTCCTTTTCCAAAATAGGCCTCAAAGCCCTCCAAATATGCACCTGCAGATTCTACAAAAAGAGTGTTTCAAATCTGCTCAATGAAAAGAAATGTTAAAATCCGTGTAATTAATGTGCACATCAAAAAGAACTTTCTCAGAATGCGTATGTGCAGTTTTTATATGAAGATATTTCCTTTTCCAAAATAGGCCTCAAAGCCCTCCAAATATCCACTTACAGATTCTACATAAAGAGTGTTACAAAACTGGTCAAGCTAATGAAAGGTTCAACTCTGTATGATGAATACACTCATCACAAAGAAGTTTCTCAGAATGCTTCTGTGTAGTTTTTATGTGAAGATATTTCCTATTCCAGAATAGGCCTCAAAGCGTTCCAAATATCCTTTTGCAGATTCTACAAAAAGAGAGATTTAAAACTGCTCAATCAAAAGATAGTTTCAACTCTGTGATTTTAATGCACACTTAACAAAGATGTTTCTCAGAATGCTTCTCTGTAGTTTTTATTTGAAGATATTTCCTTTTCCACAATAGACCTCAAAGCACTCGAAATATCCAGTTGCAGATTCTACAAAAAGAGTGTTTCAAAACTGCTCAATCAAAAGAAAGGTTCAACGCTGTGAGACGAATGCAAAGATCACAAAGAAGTTTCTCACAATGCCTCTGTGTAGTTTTTTTTTTGTGAAGATATTTTCTTTTCCACAGTAGACCTGAAAGTGCTCCAAATATTCACTTGTAGATTCTACAAAAACAGTGTTTCAAAACTTCTCAATCAATAGAAATCTTCAACTCTGTGAGATGAATGCACACATCACAAAGTAATTTCTCACAACGGCTCTGTGTAGTTTTTTTTGTGAAGATATTTTCTTTTCCATGGTATATCTGAAAGTGCTCCAAATATCCACTTGCAGATTTTACAAAAACAGTGTTTCAAAACTACTCAATCAAAAGAAAGATTCAACACTGTGAGATGAATGCCCACATTACAAAGAAGTTTCTCAGAGTGTTTCTGTGTAGTTCTTATGTGAAGATATTTCCTTTTCACCAATAGGCATCAAAGCGCTCCAAGAATCCACTTGCAGATTCTAGAAAGAGAGTGTAACAAAGCTGCTCATTCATAAGGTATGTTCAACACCGTGAGATGAATGCACATATCATTGAAGTTTCTCAGAATTCTTCTGTATAGTTTATATTTGAAGATATTCCATTTTCCCCCATAGGCCACAAGGGTTCCAAATATCCACTTTCAGATTCTACCAAAAGAGAGATTCAAAACTGCTCAATCAAAGATAGGTTCAACTGTGTGAGTTGAATGCACAAATCACAAAGTAGTTTCTCAGAATGCCTCTGTGCAGTTTTTATGTGAAGATATTTCCTTTTCACAATAGGCCTCAAAGTGCTCTAAATATTCATTTGCAGATTCTACAAAAAGATTGTTTCAAAACTGCTCAATCAAAAGAAATGTTCAACTCTGTGAGATGAATGCACACATCTCAAAGAAGTTTCTCAGAATGCTTCTGTGTAGTTTTTATGTGAAGATATTTCCTTTTCCACAGTAGGCCTCTAAACGCTCCAAGTATCCACTTACAGATTCTACAAAGAGAGTGTTTCAAAACTGCTCAATCAAATGAAGTGTTCACCTCTGTGAGATGCATACACACATCATGAAGAAGTTTCTCCGAATGCTTCTGTGTACTATTTCTTTGAAGACATTTCCTTTTCATTCATAGGCCACAAAGGTCACCAAATATCCAGTTGCAGATTCTACGAAGAGAGATTCAATACTGTTCAATGAAAAGATAGGTTCAACTATGTGAGTTGAATGCACACATCATGAAGAAGTTTCTCAGAATGCCTCTGTATAGTTCTTATGTGAAGATATTTGTTTTTCCACAGTAGGCCTCAAAGCGCTCCGAATATCCACTTGCAGATTCTATGAAAACAGCGTTTCAAAATTGCTCAAAAGAAAATTTCAACACTGTGAGATGAATGCATACATCACCAAGTAGTTTCTCAGAATGCTTCTGTGTAGTTTTTATGTGAAGATATTTCCTTTTCCATGATAGGCTTCAAAGCACTCCAAATATCCACTTGCAGATTCTATGAAAACAGAGTATCAAAACTGCTCAATTAAAAGAAAGTTGTAACTCTGTGAGATGAGTTCACACATCACAAAGAAATTTCTCCAATCCCTCCATGTAGAGTTTATTTAAACATATTTCCTTTTCCACCATAGGCCGGTAAGGGCTCCAAATATACGGCTGAAGATTCTACAAAAAGATTCAAAACTGCTCCCTCAAGAGATTGGTTCAACTCTGTGAGTTGAATGCACACATCACAAAGATGTTTCTCAGAATGCTTCTGTTTAGACTTCATGTGAAGATATTTCCTTTTCCAAAATAGGCCTCAAAGCCCTCCAAATATCCACCTGCAAATTCTACAAAAAGAGTGTTTCAAATCTGCTCAATCAAAAAAAATGTTAAAATCTGTGTGATGAATATACACATCATAAAGAAGTTTCTCAGAATACCTATGTGTAGTTTTTACATGAAGATATTTCCTTTTCCACAATAGGCCTCAAAGCTGTCCAAATATCCACTTGCAGATTCTACAAAAAGAGTTTTCAAAACTGCTCTATCAAAAGATAATTTCAACACTGCGAGTTGAATGTACACATCACAAAGAAGTTTGTCAGAATGCTTCTTAGTAGTTTTGGTGTGAAGATATTTCCTTTTCCAAAATAGGCCTCAAAACCTTCCAAATATCCATTGCAGTTTCTACATAAAGAGTCTCACAAAACTGTTCAATTAAAAGGAAAGGTTCAACTCTGTGTGTTGAATGCACTCATAACAAAGAAGTTTCTCAGAATGCTTCTGTGTAGTATTTATGTGAAGATATTTCCTTTTCCACAACAGACTTAAAAACGCTCTGAATATTCACTTGCAGATTGTACAAAAAGAGAGATTCAAAACTGTTCAATCAAAAGATAGGTTCAACTCTGTGAGTTGAATGCACAAATCACCAAAAGTTTCTCAGAATGCTTCTGTGTAGTTGTTATGTGAAGATATTTCCTTTTCCACAATAGGCCTCAAAGCTCTCCAAATATCCCGTTGCAGATTCTGCAAAAAGAGAGATTCAAAACTGCTCCATCAAAATATAGGTTCGATTCCGTGAGTTGAATGCACACATCACAAAGAAGTTTCTCAGAATGCTTCTATGTAGTTTTTATGTGAAGATGTTTCCTTTTCCACAATAGGCCTCAAAGCTCTCCAAATATCCACTTGCAGATACTACAAAAAGAGAGATTCAAACCTGATCAATCAAAAGATAGGTTCGAGTCTGTGAGTTGCATGAACACCTCACAAGAAAGTTTCTGAGAATGCTTCTGCATAGTTTTTATGTGAAGATATTTGCTTTTTCTCAATAGACCTCAAAGTGCTCCAAATATCCACTTGCAGATTCTGCAAAAAGAGATATTCAAAACTGCTCAATCAAAGATAAGTTCAACTCTGTTTGTGGAATGCACACATAACTATAGAAGTTTCTTAGAATGCTTTTGTGTAGTTTTTATGTGAAGAAATTTCCTTTTCCAAAAGAGGCCTCTAAGCCCTAAAAA
>NT_187433.1:0-63448 GCF_000001405.40 Homo sapiens | reverse complement strand
CTGTGTAGTTTGTATTTGAAGATATTTCCATTTCCACCATAGAGTGCAAAGGTCTCCAAATATCCACTTGCAGATTCTACAAAAAGAGAGATTAAAAACTTCTCAATCAAAAAATAGGTTCAACACTGTGAGTTGAATGTACACATCACAACGAAGTTTCTCAGAATGCTTCTGTGTAGTTATTATATGAAGATATTTCTGTTTCCACAATAGGCCTCAAATTGCTCCAAATATCCACTTGCAGACTCTACAAAAGCAGTGTATCGAAACTGCTCAATCAAAAGAAAGGATCAACTCTGTGAGATGAATGCATACATCACAAAATTTCTCAGATTGCTTCTGTCTAGATTTTATGTGAAGATGTTTCCTTTTCTAAAATAGGCCACAAAGCCCTCCAAATGTCCACATGCAGATTCTACAAAAAGAGTGTTCCCAAACTGCTCAATCAAAAGGAAGTTTCACCTCTGTGAAATGAAGCAACACATCACAAAGAAGTTTCTCAGAATTCTTCAGTCTAGTTTTTTTCATCTCCTTTTCCACCTTAGGCCTCAAAGTGCTCCAAATGTCCACTTGCAGATTGTACAAAAGCAGTGTTTCCAAACTGCTCAATCAAAAGGAAGGTTCAACTCTGTGAGATGAATTGACACATCACAAAGAAGTTTCTCAGAATTCTTCTGTCTAATTTTTATGTGAAGATATTTCCTTTTCTACCATAGGCCACAAAGCCCTCCAAATGTCCACTTTCAATTTCTACAAAAAGAGTATTTCCAAACTACTTAATCAAAAGAAAGTTTCAACTCTGTGAGATGAACACACACATCATGAAGAAGTTTCTGAGAATTCTTCTATCTAGTTTTCATGTGAAGATATTTCCTTTTCCACCATAGGCCTCAAAGCATTCCAAATATCCACTTGCAGAATCTACAAAAAGAGAGTTTCAAAAATGCTTAATAAAAAGAAAGGTTTAAATCTGTGAGATGAATGCACACATCACAAGGAAGTTTCTCAGATTGCTTCTGTCTACATTTTATGTGAAGGTATTTCCTTTTCTACCATAGGCCACAAAGGGCTCCCAATGTCCACTTCCAGATTCTACAAAAGCAGTGTTTCCTAACTGCTCAACTAAAAGAAATGTTCAACGCAGTGAGATGAATGCACACATCACAAAGTTGTTTTTCATAATTCTTCTGTCTAGTTTTTATGTGAAGATATTACCTTTGCCACCACAGACCTCAAAGCACTCCAAATTTCCACTTGTAAATTATACAAAAAGAGAGTTTCAAAACTGCTCTATCAAAAAAAAGGTTTAACTCTGTAACATGAATGCACACATCACAAAAGGGTTTCTCATATTGCTTCTGCCTAGATTTTATGTGAAGATACTTTCTTTTCTAAAATAGGCTGCAAAGTGCTCCCAATATCCACTTGCAGATCCTCCAAAAACAGTGTTTCCAAACTGCTCAAATGAAAGAAATGTTCAACTCTGTGATATGAATGCACACATCACAAAGATGTTTTTGAGAATTCTTCTGTCTAGTTTTTATGTGAAGGTATTACCTTTTCCACCATAGGCCTCAAAGTGCTACAAATTTCCACTTGCAGAATCTACAAAAAGAGAGTTTCAAAACTACCCTATCAAAAGAAAGGTTTAACTCTGTGACATGAATGCACACATCACAAAGAAGTTTCTCAGATTGCTTCTGCCTAGATTTTATTGGAAGATATTTCCTTTTCTAAAATAGGCCACAAAGCACTCCAAATGTCACTTCCAGATTCTGCACAAAGAGTGTTTCCAAACTGCTGAATCAAAAGAAAAGTTCAACTCTGTGAGATGAACAAACACATCACAAAGATGTTTCTCAGAGTTCTTCTGTCTAGTTTTTATGTGAAGACATTTCCTTTTCCACGATAGGCCTGAAAGTGCTCCAAATGTCCACTTGCAAATCCTACAAAAAGAGAGTTTCAAAACTGCTTAAACAAAAGAATGGTTAAACTCTGTGAGATGAATGCACATATCACAAATAAGTTTCTCAGATTGCTTCTGTCTAAATTTTATGAGAAGATATTTTCTTTTCTAACATAGGCCACAAAGTGCTCCAAATGTTGACTTGCAGATGCTACAAAAAGAGTATTTCCAAACTGTTCAATCAAAAAAAGTTCAACTCTGTGAGATGAAATCACACATCACAAAGAAGTTTCTCAGAATTCTTCTGTCTAGTTTTTATGTGAAGATATTTTCTTTTCCTCCATAGGCCTCAAAGCACTTCAAATGTACTATTGCAGATTCTACAAAAGGAGTGTTTCCAAACTGCTCAATCAAAAGAAAGGTTTAATTCTGTGAGATGAATGCACACATCACAAAGAAGTTTATCAGACTGCTTCTGTCTAGATTTTATGTGAAGATATTCCCTTTTCTAAAACAGGCTGCAAAGTGCTCCCAATGTCCACTTGCAAATACTACAAAAATAGTGTTTCCAAACTGCTCCATCAAAAGTAAGGTTCAACTATGTGAGATGAACGAACATCTCACAAAGAAGTTTCTCAGAAACCTTCTGTCTAGTTTTTATGTGAAGATGTTTTATTTTACACAATAGGCTTCAAGGTGCTCAAAATGCCCAAGTGCAGATACTACAAAAATAATATTTCAAAACTGGTCCATCAAAAATAAGTTTCATACCTGATAGATGAATGGACACATTACAAAGAAGTTTCTCAGAATACTTCTGTCTAGTTTTTTTGTGAAGATATTTCATTTTCCACCATAGGCCTCGAGACACTCAAACTGCGCACATGCAGATTGTACAAAAAGAATATTTCAAAACTGGCCCATCAAAAGTAAGGTTCAACTCTGTGAGATGAATGCACACATCACAAAGTAGTTTGTCAGAATTCTTCTGTCTGGTTTTCATATGAAGATATTAGCTTTTCCACCACAGGCCTCAAAGTGCTCCACTTCCAGATTCTATAAAAGAGAGTTTCAAAACTGCTCTATCAAAAGAAAAGTTTAACTCTGTGACATGAATGCCTACATCGCAATGAAGTTTCTCAGATTGCTTCTGTCTAGATTTTAAGTGAAGATATTTCCTTTTCTACCATAGGCCACAAAGCGCTCCAAATGTCCACTTGCAGATTCTACAAAAAGAATGTTTCCAAACTGCTCAATCAAAAGAAAGACTCTACACTGTAAGATGAATGCACACATCACAAAGAAGTTTCTCAAAATTCTTCTGTCTAGTTTTAATGTGAAGATATTCCCTTTACAACATAGTCTTCAAAGTGCTCCAAATGTACAGTTGCAGATTCTGCAAAAAGAGATTCAAAACTTTCCAATCAAAAGAAAGGTTTAACTCTGTGAGATGAATGCACATATCACAAAGAAGTTTCTCAGATTCCTTCTGTCCGGATTTTATGTGAAGATATTTCCTATTCTACCAAAGGGCGTAAAGCTCTCCAAATGTCCACTTGCAGATTCTACAAAAAGAGTGTTTCCAAACTGTTTAATCAAAAGAAAGGTACAATTCTGTGAGGTGAATACACATATCACAAAGAAGTTTCTCGGAAAACTTCTGTCTAGTTTATTGTGAAGATATTTCCTTTTCCACCATAGGCCTCAAAATGCTCCAAATGTCCAATTGTACAATCTACAAAAAGAGAGTTTCAAAACTGTTCAATCAAAAGGAATGTTTAATTCTCTGAGATGAATGCACACATCACAAAGAAGTTTTTCAGATTCTTTCTGTCTGGATTTTATGTGAAGATATTTCCTTTTCTACTATAAGCCGCAAAGCACACCAAATGTCAACTTGAAGATTCTACAAAAAGAGTGTTTCCAAACTGCTCAATCAAAAGAAAGTTTCAACTCTGTGAGATGAATGCACACATCACAAAGAAGTTTCTCAGAATTCTTCTGTCTAGTTTTTATGTGAAGATATTTACTTTTCCACCATAGGCCTCAAAGCACTCCAAATGTCCACTTGGAGATTCTACAAAAAGAGAGTTAAAAACTGCCTAATCAAAAGACAGATTTGACTCTGTGAGATGAATGCACACATCACAAAGAAGATTCTCAGTTTGCTGCTGTCTAGATTTTATGTGAAGATATTTCTTTTTTGACCATAGGCCGCAAAGTGCTCCAAATGTCCATTTGAAGATTCCACAAAAAGAGTGTTTCCAAAATGCTGAATCAAATGAGACATTCAACTCTGTGAGATGAATGCACACATCATAAAGAAGTTTCTCAGAATTCTTCTGTCTAGTTTTTATGTGAAGATACTTCCTTTTCCTCCATAGGAATCAAAGGGCTTCAAATGTCCGCTTGCAAATTCTACAAATAGAGAGATTCAAAACTGCTCAATCAACTAAAATGTTTAACTCTGTAAGATGAATGCACACATCACAAAGAAGTTTCTCAGATTGCTTCTTTCTAGATTTTATGTGAAGATATTTCCTTTTCTACCATAGGCCGCAAAGTGCTCCACTTGCAGATTCTACAAAAAAAAGAGTTTCAGAACAGTTCTATAAAAGGAAAGCTTTAAATCTGTGAGATGAATGCATACATCACAATGGAGTTTCTCAGATTCCTTGTGTCTAGATTTTATGTGAAGGTATTTCCTTTTCTACAATAGGCTGCAAAGCGCTCCAAATGTCCACTTGCATATTCTACAAAAAGAGTGTTTCCAAACTGCTCAATCTAAAGAAAGGTTCAACTCTGTGAGATGAACGCACACATCACCACGAAGTGTGTCAGAATTCTCCTGTCTAGTTATTATTTGAAAGTATTACCTTTTCCAGCATAAGCCTCAAAGTGAACCAAATATCCACCTGCAGTTTCTACAACAAGAGAGTTTCAAAACTGCTCAATAAAAAGAAAGATTTAACTATGTGAGGTGAATGCACACATCACAAAGAAGTTTCTCAGACTACTTCTGTCTAGATTTTATCTGAAGATATTTCTTTTTCTATTAGAGGTCACAAAGTGCTCCAGATATCCACTTGCAGATTCTACAAAAAGAGTGTTTCCAAACAGCTCTATCAAAAGAAAGGTTCACCTCTGTCAGGTGAATGCACATATCACAAAGAAGTTTCTCAGAATTCTCTGTCTAGTTTTTATGTTCCTTTTCCACCATAGTCCTCAAAGCACTGCAAATATCCACTTGCAGTTTCTACAAAAAGGGAGTTTGAAAACTGCTCAATCAAAACAAAGTTTTAAATCTGTGGGATGAATGCACACATCACAAAGAAGGTTCTCTGATTGCTTCTGTCTAGATGTTATGTGAAGATATTTCCTTTCCTACCATAGGCCACAAAGTGCTCCCAATGTCCAATTGCAGATTCTACAAAAAGAGTGTTTCCAAACTGCTCATTCAAAAAACAGGTTTAACTCTATGAAATGAATGCACACATCACAAAGAAGTTTTCAGATTGCTTCTGTCTAGATTTTATGTGAAGATATTTCGTTTTGTACCATAGTCCAAAAACCGATCCAAATGTCCACTTGAAGATTCTACAAATAGAGTGTTTCCAAACTGCTCAATCAAAAGAAAGGTTCAACTTTGTGTAATGAATGCACACATTCCAAAGAAGTTTGTCAGAATTCTTCTGTCTAGTTTTTATGTGAATATATAACCTTTTTCCCCATAGGCCTCAAAGTGCTCCAAATATCCACTTGCAGATTCTACAAAAACAGTGTTTCAAAACTGCTCAATCAAAAGAAAGGTTTAACTCTGTGAGATGAGTGCACAGATCTCAAAGAAGTTTCTCAGAATGCTTCTCTGTAGTTTTTATGTGAAGATATTTCCTTTTCCACTATAGGCCTCAAAATGCTCCAAATATCCACTTGCAAATTATACAAAAAGAGTGTTTTAAAACTGTTCAATCATAAGATTGGTTCAACCAAGTGAGATGAATGCACAAATCGCAAATAAGTTTCTCAGAATGCTTTTGTGTAGTTTTTATTTGAAGGTATTTCCTTTTCCACCATAGACATCAAAGGGATCCAAATATCGACTTGCAGATTCTACCAAAACAGAGATTCAAAACTGCTCAATCAAAAGATAGGTTAAACTCTGTGAGTTGAATGCACACATCACAAATATGTTTCTCAGAATGCTTCTGTATAGTTTTTATTTGATGATATTTCCTTTTCTACATTAGGACTCAAAGCTCTCCAAATATCCACTTGCAGATTCTGCTAAAAGAGAGATTCAAAACTGCTCAATCAAAATACAGGATTAACTCCATGAGTTGAATGCACACACCACAAAGAAGTTTCTCAGAATGCTTCTGTGTAGTTGTTATGTGAAGATATTTCCTTCACCACAGTAGACCCCAAATCACTCCAAGTATCCACTTGCAGATTCTACGAAAAGAGTGTTTCAAAACTGCTCAATCAAAAGATAGGTTCAACTCTGTGTGTTGAATGCACACATCACAAAGAAGTTTCTCTGAAAGATTCTGCGTAGTTTTTATGCGAAGATATTTCCTTTTCCACAATAGGCTTCAAATCCCTCCAAATACCCACTTTCAGATTCTAAAAAAAGAGTGTTTCAAAACTACACAATCGAAAGAAAGTTTCAACTCTGGAAGATGTATGCACACATCACAAAGAAGTTTCTCAGAATGCTTCTATTTAGTTTTTATATGCAGATATTTGGTTTTCCACATTAGGCCTCAAGGCACTCCAAATATCCACTTGCATTAGCTGAAAAAACCTGTATCAAAACTGCTCAATCAAAAGAAAGGATCAACAAAGTGAGATGAATGCATACATAACAAAGAAGTTTCTCAGAATGCTTCTGTGTAGTTTTTGTGTGAAGATATTTCCTTTTCTACCATAGGCCTCAAAGCGACCCAAGTATCCACCTTCAGATTCTACAATAAGAGTGTTTCAAAACTGCTCAATCATAACATAGTTTCAACACAGTGAGATGAATGCACACATCACAAATGTTTCTCAGAATGCTTCTGTGTAATTTTTATTTAAAGATATTTCCTTTTCCAACATCGGCCGCCAAGGTCTCCAAATATCCACTTTCAGATTCTACAAACAGAGAGATTCAAAACTGCTCAATCAAAAGATAGGTTCCACTCTGTGAGGTGAATGCACACATCACAAAGAAGTTTCTCAGAATGCTTCTGTGTCGTTTTCATGTGAAGATATTTGGTTTTCCACAATAGGCCTCAAATCCCTCCAAATATCCACTTGCAGATACTACAAAAAGCATGTTTCAAAAACGCTCAATCAAAAGAAAGGTTCAACTCTGTGAGATGAATGCACACATCACCAAGAAGTTTCTCAGAATGCTTCTGTGTAGTTTTTCTGTGAAGATATTTGCTTTTCCACAGTCGGCCTGAAAACGCTCCCAGTATCCACTTGCAGATACCACAAAAGCAGTGTTTCAAAAGTACTCAGTCAAAAGAAAGGATAAACCCTGTCAGATGAAGGCACTCATCTCAAAGAAGGCTCTCAGAATGCTTCTATGTAGTTTTTATGTGAAGATATTTCCTTTTCCACAATAGGCCTCAAAGAGCTCCAAATGTCCACTTGCAGATTCTACAAAAAGAGTGTTTCAAAACTGCCCAATCAAAAGAAAGTTTCAATTATGTGAGATGAATGCACACATCACAAAGATATTTCCCAGAATTCTTCTGTCTAGTTATTATATGAAGATAGTTCGTTATCCACCAAAGGCCTCAAAGCGCTTCAAAGGTAAACTTGCAGATTCCACAAAAACAATGTTTCAAAACTGCTCAATGCAAAGTAAATTTCAACTCAGTGGGATGAATGCACACATCAAAAAGCCATTTGTCAGAATTTTTCTGTCTGGTTTTTATGTGATGATATTTTTTTTCCACCATAAGCCTCAAAGCGCTTCAAATGTCCACTTGCAGATTCTATAAAAAGAGAGTTTCAAAACTCCTCAATCAAAACAAAGTTTTAACTCTGTGAGGTGAATGCACACATCACAAAGAAGTTTCTCAGGTTGCTTCTGTCTAGATTTTATGTGAAGATATTTCCTTTTCCACCATAGGCCTCAAAGCGCTCCAAATGTCCACTTCCAGATTCTGCAAAAGGAGTGTTTCCAAACTGCTCAATCAAAAGGAATGTTCAACTCTGTGGGATGAATTGACACATCACAAAGAAGTTTCTCAGAGAATTCTTCTGTCTAGTTTTTATGTGAAGGTATTTCCTTTTCTACCAGAGGCCACAAAACGCTCCAAATGTCCACTTGCAATTTCTACAAAAAGAGTATTACCAAACTACTTAATCAAAAGAAAGGCTCAACTGTGTGAGATGAACAAACATATCACGAAGAAGTTTCTCAGAATTCTTCTGTCTAGTTTTTATGTGAAGATATTTACTTTTCCACCATAGGCCTCAAAGCGCTCCAAATGTCCACTTGCAGATCCTACAAAAAGAGAGTTTCAATACTGCTCAATCAAAAGAAAGGTTTAACTCTCTGACATGAATGCACAGATCACAAAGAAGTTCCTCAGATTGCTTATGTCTAGATTTTATGTGAAGATATTTCCTTTTCTAAAATAGGCCACAAACCACTCAAAATGTCCACTTGCAGATTCTACAAAAAGTGTTTCCAAACTGCTCAATCAAAAGAAATGTTCAACTCTGTGAGATGAATGCACACATCACAAAGAAGTTTCTCAGAATTCTTCTGTCTAGTTTTTATGTGAAGATATTTACTTTTCCACCATAGGCCTCAAAGCGCTCCAAATGTCCACTTGCAGATCCTACAAAAAGAGAGTTTCCGTACTGCTCAATCAAAAGAAAGGTTTAACTCTCTGAGATGAATGCACAGATCACAAAGAAGTTTCTCAGATTGATTCTGTCTAGATTTTATGTGAAGTCATTTCCTTTTCTACCATAGGCCGCAAGTGCTCCAAATGTCCGCTTGCAGATTCTACAAAAAGTGTGTTTCCAAGCTGCTCAATGAAAGGAAAGCTTCAAATCGCTGAAGGTACAAATCACAAAGAAGTTTCCCAGAATGCTTCTGTCTAGTTTTTATGTGAAGATGTTTCCTTTTCCACCATAGGCCTCAAAGCCCTCCAAATGTCCACTTGTAGATTCCACAAAAAGAGAGTTTCAAAACTGCTCTATCAAAAGAAAGGTATAACTCTGTGAGATGAATGCACGAATCAGAAGGAAGTTTTTCAGATTGCTTCTGCTTTGATTTTATGTGAAGATATTTCCTTTTTTAAAATAGGCCACAATGTGCTCCAAACGTCCACATGCAGATCCTACAAAAAGATTGTTTCCAAACTGCTCAATCATAAGAAAGGTTAAACTCTGTGAGATGAACGAACACATCACAAAGAAGTTTCTCAGAATTCTTCTGTCTAGTTTTTGTGAAGATATTTCCTTTTCCACCATAGGCCTCAAAGCGCTCCAAATGTCCACTTCCAGATTCTACAGAAGGAGTGTTTCCAAACTGCTCAATCAAAAAGAATGTTCAACTCTGTGAGATGAATTGACACATCACAAAGAAGTTACTCAGAATTCTTCTGTCTAGTTTTTATGTGAAGGTATTTCCTTTTCTACCATAGGCCACAAAGTGCTCCAAATGTCCACTTGCAATTTCTACAAAAAGAGTATTACCAAACTACTTAATCAAAAGAACGGTTCACCTCAGTGAGATGAACACACACATCATGAAGAAGTTTCTCAGAATTCTTCTGTCTAGATTTTATGTGAGGATATTTCCTTTTCCAACATAGGCCTCAAAGTGTTCCAAATAACCACTTGCAGATTCTACAAAAAGAGAATTTCAAAACTGCTTAATCAAAAGAAAGGTTTAACTCTGTGAGATGAATGCACACATCATAAAAAAGTTGCTCAGATTGCTTCTGTCTAGATTTTATATGAAGATATTTCCTTTTCTTCCATAGGCTGCAAAGCACTCCAAATGTCCACTTGCAGATTCCACAAAAACAGTCTTTCCAAACTGCTGAATTAAAAGAATTGTTCTACTCTGTGAGATGAACACACACATCACAAAAATGTTTGTCAGAATTCTTCTGTCTAGTTTTTATGTGAAGATATTGCCTTTTCCACCATGGGCCTCAAAGCACTCCAAATGTCTACTTGCAGATTCTACAAAAAGAGAGTTTCAAAACTGCTCTATCAAAAGAAAGGTTTAACTCGGTGACATGAATGCACACATCACAAAGAAATTTCACAGATTGCTTCTGCCTAGATTTTATTGGAAGATATTTCCTTTTCTAAAATAGGCCGCAAAGCACACCAAATGTCCACTTGCAGATTCTGCACAAAGAGTATTTCCAAACTGCTCAATCAAAAGAAAAGTTCAACTCTGTGAGATGAATGAGCACATCACAAAGATGTTTCTCAGAATTCTTCTGTCTAGTTTTTATGTGAAGATATTTCCTTTTCCACTGTAGGCCTCAAAGAGCTCCAAATATCCACTTGCAGATTCTACAAAAAGATAGTTTCAAAACTGCTCAATCAAAAGAAAGGTTCGACTCTGTGAAATGAATGAACACATCACAAAGAAGTTTCTCAGATTGCTTCTGTCTAGATTTTATGTGAAGATATTTCCTTTTCTAACATAGGATACAAAGGCTCCAAGTGTCAACTGGCAGACTCTACAGAAAGAGTGTTTCCAACCTGCTCAATCAAAAATAGTTCATCTCTGTGAGATGAATTGACACATCACAAAGAAGTTTCTCAGAATTCTTCTTTCTAGTTTTAATGTGAAGATATTTCATTTTCCACCATAGGCCTCATAGCGCTCCAAATGTACAATTACAGATTCTACAAAATGAGTGTTTCCAAACTACTACATCAAAAGAAAGTTTTAACACTGTGAGATGAATGCACACATCACAAAGAAGTTTATCAGACTGCTTTTGTCTACATTTTATGTGAAGATATTCCCTTTTCTATAATGGGCCCCAAACCATCCAAATGTCCACTTGCAGATTCCACAAAAAGAGTGTTTCCAAAGTGCTCAATTAAATGTAAGATTCAACTCTGTGAGATGAATGAACACATCACAAAGAAGTTTCTCAGAAATCTTCTGTCTAGTTTTTATGTGAAGATATTTCCTTTTCCACCATAGGCCTCAAAGCGATCCAAATGTCCACTTGCAGATTCTACAAAAAGAGCGTTTCAAAACTTCTCAATCATAGGAAAGATTCAACTCCGTGAGATGAATGCACACATCAGAAAGAAGTTTCTCAGATTCCTTCTGTCTAGATTTCATGGGAAGATATTTTCTTTTCTAGCATGGGCCACAAAGCGATCCAAATATCTGCTTGCAGACTCTACTAAAAGAGTCTTTCCAAACTGCTCAATCAAAAGAAAGGTTCAACTCTGTGGAATTAAATCACATATCACAAACAAGTTTCTCAGAATTCTTCTCTCTAGTTTTTATGTGAAGATATTTCATTTTCGACCATTGGCCTCAAGGCGCTCGAAATGCCCACTTGCAGATACTACAAAAAGAATATTTCAAAACTGGTCCATGAAAAGTAAGGTTCAACTCTGTGAGATGCATGCACACATCACAAAGAAGTTTGTCAGAATTCTTCTATTTAGTTTTTATTTGAAGATATTACCTTTTCCACCATAGGCCTCAAAGTACTCCACTTCCAGATTCTACAAGAAGAGACTGAAGAGAGTTTCAAAACTGCTCTATCAAAAGAAAGGTTTATCTCTGTGAGATGAATGCATACATCACAATGAAGTTTTTTCAGATTTCTTTTGTCTAGATTTTATGTGAAGATATTTCCTTTTCTACCATAGGCCACAAAGCGGTCCAAATTCCCACTTGCAGATTGTACAAAAAGAGTGTTTCCAAACTGCTCAATCAAAATAAAGGTTCAACTCTGTGAGATGACTGCACGCATCACAAAGTAGTTTCTCAGAATTCTTCCATATAGTTTTTATGTGAAGATATTTCATTTTCGACCATAGGCCTCAAGGCGCTCGAAATGCCCACTTGCAGATTCTACAAAAAGAATATTTCAAAACTGGTCCATCAAAAGTAAGGTTCTACTCTGTGAGATGTAAGCACACATCACAAAGAGGTTTTTGTGAATTTTTCTGTCCAGTTTTTATGTGAAGATATTACCTTTTCTACCATAGGACTCAAGGCACTCCACTTGCAGATTCTACAAAAAGAAAGTTTCAAAACAACTCTATCAAAAGAAAGGTTTAACACTGTGAGATGAATGCATACATCACAGAGAAGTTTCTCAGATTCCTTCTGTCTAGATTTTGTGTGAAGATATTTCCTTTTTTACAAGAGGCCTCAAAGTGCTCCAAATATCCACTTGCAGATTCTACAAAAAGAGTGTTTCCAAACAGCTCTATCAAAAGAAAAGTTCAACTCTGTGAGATGAATGCACACATCAAAAAGAAGCTTCTCAGAATTCCCTGTGTAGTTTTTATGTTCCTTTTCCACCTTAGCCCTCAAAGCGCTACAAATGTCCACTTGCAGACTCTACAAAAAGGAGTTTGAAAACTGCTCAATCAAAACCAAGTTTTAAATCTGTGAGATGAATGCACACATTACAAAGAAATTTCTCTGATTCCTTCTGTCTAGATGTTATGTGAAGATATTTCCTTTCCTACCATAGGCCACAAAGCACTCCCAATGTCTAATTGCAGTTTCTACAAAAAGAGTATTTCCAAACTGCTTAATCAAATGAAAGTTTCAACTCTGTTAGATGAATGCACACATCACAGAGAACTTTCTCAGAATTCTTCTGTCTACTTTTTATGTGAAGATATTTCCTTTTCTACCATGGGCCACAAAGAAATCGAAATGTTTACTTGCACATTCTACAAAAAGTGAGTTTCAAATCTACACTATCAAAAGAAAGTTTCAACTCTGTAAGATGAATGCACACATCATGAAGTAGTTTCTGAAATTTCTTCTGTATAGTTTTTATGTGAAGATATTTCCTGTTCCACCATAGGCCTCAAAGCATTCCAAATATACAGTTGCAGATTCTACAAAAAGGGAGTTTCAAAACTGCTCAATCAAAAGTAAGTTTTAACTCTGTGAGATGAACGCACACATCACAAAGAAGTTTCTCAGATTGCTTCTGTCTATATTTTATGTGAAGATATTTCCTTTTCTACCATAGGCCGCAAAGCTCTCCAAATTGTCCACTAGCAGATTCTACAAAAAGAATGTTTCCAAACTGCTCAACCAAAAGAAAGGTTCAACTCTGTGACATGAACCCTCACATTGCAAAGACGTTTCTCAGAATTTTTCTGCCTGGTTTTTATGTGAAGATATTTCCTTTTCCACGATAGGCTTCAAAGCGCTCCAAATGTCCACTTGCAGATTCTACAAAAAGAGAGTTTCAAAACTCATCAATCAAAAGAAAGCTTTACATCTTTGAGATGAATGCTCACATCCCAAAGAAGTTTCTCAGATTGCTTCTGTCTAGATTTTATTTGAAGATATTTCCTTTTCTGCCATAGGCCACAAAGCTCTCCAAATGTCCACTTGCAGATTCTACAAAAAGAGTGTTTCCATACTGCTCAATCTAAAGAAAGGTTCAACATTGTGAAATGAATGCACACATCACAAAGAAGTTTCTCAGAATTCTACTCTCTAGTTTTATGTGAAGATATTTCCTTTTCCACCATTGACCACAAAGCGCTCCTAATGTCCATTTGCAGATTCAACTAAAAGAGATTTTCAAAACTGCTCAATGAAAAGAAATTTTTATCTCTGTGAGATGAATGCACCCATCACAAAGAAGTTTCTCAGATTGCTTCTGTCTAGATTTTATGTGAAGATATTTCCTTTCTACCATAGGCCGCATTGCGCTTGCAGATTATACAAAAATAGGGTTTCTGAACTGCTCAATCAAAAGTAAGGTTCAACTCTATGAGATGACCATAGGCCACAAAGTTCTCCAAATGTCTACTTGCAGATTCTACAAAAAGAGAGTTTCTAAACTGCTCAATCAAAAGAAAGGTTTAACTCTGTGACATGAATGCACACATCACAAAGAAGTTTCTCAGATTGCTTCTGTCTGGAATGTATGTGAAGATATTACCTTATCTACCACAGGCCGCAAAGAGCACCAAATGTCCACTTGCAGATTCTACAAAAAGAGTGATTCCAAACTGCTCAATCAAAAGAAAGGTTCAAATCTGTGAGATGAATGCAGATATCACAAAGAAGTTTCTCAGAATTCTTCTGTCTGGTTTTTATGTGAAGATATTACCTTTTTCACCATAGGCCTCAAAGCGCTTCAAATGTACACTTGCAGATTCTACAAAAGGGAGTTTCTAAACTGCTCAATCAAAGGGAAGTTTTAACTGTGTGAGATGAATGCACACATCACAAAGAAGTTTCTGAGACTGCTTCTGTCCAGGTTTCATGTGAAAATACTTCCTTTTGTACCATAGGCCACTGAGCGCTTCTAACTCTGTGAAATGAACGCACACATCACAAAGAAGTTTGTCGAAATTCTTCGGTCTAGTTTTTATGTTGAAGATATTACCTTTTCCACCATAGGCCTCAAAGCGCTCCAATGTACACTTGCAGATTCTACAAAAAGAGAGTTTCAAAACTGCTCTATCAAAAGAAAGGTTTAAGTCTGTGATACGATTGCACATATTACAAAGAAGTTTCTCAGATTGCTTCTGTCTAAATTTTATGTGAAGATATTTCCTTTTCTACCATAGGCTGCAAAGCACTCCAAATGTGCACCTGCAGATTCTACAGAAAGAGTATTTCCAAACTGCTCAATCAAAAGAAAGGTTGAACTCTCTGAGGTGAACGCACACATCACAAAGAAGTTTCTCAGAATTTTTCTGTCAAGTTTTTTTTTTTTAAAGAGCAGTTTGGATTTTATTTCTTTTATGTTCATAGATTTATTTATTTTATTTATTTACTTATTTATTTATTATTATACTTTAAGTTTTAGGGTCCTTGTGCACAATGTGCAGGTTAGCTACATATGTTTACATGTGCCATGCTGGTGCGCTGCACCCACTAACTCATCACTTAGCATTAGGTATATATCCCAATGGTATCCCTCACCCCTCCAACCACCCCACAACAGTCCCCACAGTGTGATGTTCCACTTCCTGTGTTTATGTGTTCTCATTGTTCAGTTCCCACCTATGAGTGAGAATATGTGGTGTTTGGTTTTTTGTTCTTGTGATAGTTTACTGAGAATGATGATTTCCAATTTCATCCATGTCCCTACAAAGGACATGAACGCATCATTTTTTATGGCTGCATAGTATTCCAAGGTGTATATGTGCCACATTTTCTTAATCCAATCTATCATTGTTGGACATTTGGGTTGGTTCCAAGTCTTTGCTGTTGTGAATAATGCCACAATAAACATACGTGTGCATGTGTCTTTATAGCAGCATGATTTATAGTCCTTTGGGTATATACCCAGTAATGGGATGGCTGGGCCAAATGCTATTTCTAGTTCTAGATCCCTGAGGAATCGCCACACTGACTTCACAATCGTTGAACTAGTTTACAGTCCCACCAACAGTGTAAAAGTGTTCCTGTTTCTCCACATCCTCTCCAGCACCTGTTGTTTCCTGACTTTTTGATGATTGCCATTCTAAGTGGTGTGAAACGGCATCTCACTGTGGTTTTGATTTGCATTTCTCTGATGGCCAGTAATGGTGAGCATTTTTTCATGTGTTTTTTGGCTGCATAAATGTCTTCTTTTGAGAAGTGTCTGTTCATGTCCTTTGCCCACTTTTTGATGGGGTTGTTTGTTTTTTTCTTGTAAATTTGTTTGAGTTCATTGTAGATTCTGGATATTAGCCCTTTGTCAGATGAGTAGGTTGTGAAAATTTTCTCCCATTTTGTAGGTTGCCTGTTCACTCTGATGATAGTTTCTTTTGCTGTGCAGAAGCTCTTTAGTTTAATTAGATCCAATTTGTCAATTTTGGCTTTTGTTTTCATTGCTTTTGGTGTTTTAGACATGAAGTTCTTGCCCATGCCTATGTCCTGAATGTTAATGCCTAGGTTTTCTTCTAGGGTTTTTATGGTTTTAGGTCTAACGTTTAAGTCTTTAATCCATCTTGAAGTAATTTTTGTGTAAGGTGTAAGGAAGGGATCCAGTTTCAGCTTTCTACATATGGCTAGCCAGTTTTCCCAGCACCATTTATTAAATAGGGAATCCTTTCCCCATTCTTGTTTTTCTCAGGTTTGTCAAAGATCTGATAGTTGTAGATATGTGGCATTATTTCTGAGGGCTCTGTTCTGTTCCATTGATCTATATCTCTGCTTTGGTACCAGTACCATGCTGTTTTGGTTACTGTAGCCTTGTAGTATAGTTTGAAGTCAGGTAGTGTGATGCCTCCCGCTTTGTTCTTTTGACTCAGGATTGACTTGGTGATGCGGGCTCTTTTTTGGTTCCATGTGAACTTTAAAGTAGTTTTTTCCAATTCTGTGAAGAAAGTCATTGGTAGCTTGATGGGGATGGCATTGAATCTGTAAATTACCTTGGGCAGTATGGCCATTTTCACGATATTGTTTCTTCTTACCCATGAGCATGGAATGTTCTTCCATTTGTTTGTGTACTCTTTTATTTTCTTGAGCAGTGGTTTGTAGTTCTCCTTGAAGAGGTCCTTCACATCCCTTGTAAGTTGGATTCCTAGGTATTTTTTTCTCTTTGAAGCAATTGTGAATGGGAGTTCACTCATGATTTGGCTCTCTGTTTGTCTGTTGTTAGTATATAAGAATGCTCGTGATTTTTGTACATTGATTTTGTATCCTGAGACTCTGCTGAAGTTGCTTATCAGCTTAAGGAGATTTTGGGCTGAGACAATGGAGTTTTCTAGATATACAATCATGTCGTCTGCAAACAGGGACACTTTGACTTCCTCTTTTCCTAATTGAATACCCTTTATTTCCTTCTCCTGCCTAATTGCCCTGGCCAGAACTTCCAACACTATGTTGAATAGGTGGTGAGAGAGGGCATCCCTGTCTTGTGCCAGTTTTCAAAGGGAATGCTTCCAGTTTTTGCCCATTCAGTATGATATTGGCTGTGGGTTTGTCATAGATAGCTCTTATTATTTTGAAATATGTCCCATCAATACCTAATTTATTGAGAGTTTTTAGGATGAAGCGGTTTCTGTCTTGTTGATCTGTCTAATGTTGACAGTTTGGTGTTAAAGTCTCCCATTATTAATGTGTGGGAGTCTAAGTCTCTTTGTAGGTCAGTCAGGACTTGCTTTATGAATCTGGGCGCCCCTGTATTGGGTGCATATATATTTAGGATAGTTAGCTCTTCTTCTTGAATTGATCCCTTTACTATTAAGTAATGGCCTTCTTTGTCTCTTTTGATCTTTGTTGGTTTAAAATCTGTTCTATAAGAGACTAGGATTGCAATCCCTGCCTTTTTTTGCATTCCATTTGTATGGTACATCTTCCTCCATCGTTTTATTTTGAGCCTATGTGTGTCTCTGCACACGAATTGGGTTTCCTGAACATAGCATACTGATGGGTCTGGACTCTTTATCCAATTTGCCAGTCTGTGTCTTTTAATTGGAGTATTTAGTCCATTTACATTTAAAGTTAATATTGTTATGTGTGAATTTGATCCTGTCCTTATGATGTTAGCTGGTTATTTTGTTCGTTAGTTGATGCAGGTTCTTCCTAGTCACGATGTTCTTTACATTTTGGCATGATTTTGCCACGGCTGGTACCAGTTGTTCCTCTCCATATTTAGTGCTTCCTTAAGAAGCTCTTTTAGGGCAGTCCTGGTGGTGACAAAATCTCTCAGCATTTGCTTGTCTGTAAAGGATTTTATTTCTCCTTCACTTATGAAGCTTAGTTTGGCTGGATATGAAATTCTGGGTTGAAAATTCTTTTCTTTAAGAAGGTTGGATATTGGCCCCCACTCTCTTCTGGCTTGTAGAGTTTCTGCCAAGGGATCTGCTGTTAGTCTGATGGGCTTCCCTTTGAGGGTAACCTGACCTTTCTCTTTGGCTGCCCTTAACATTTTTTCCTGCATTTCAACTTTGGTGAATCTGACAATTATGTGTCGTGGAGTTGCTCTTCTCGAGGAGTATCTTTGTGGTGTTCTCTGTATTTCCTGAATCTGAATGTTGGCCTGCCTTGCTAGGTTGGGGAAGTTCTCCTGGATAATATCCTGCAGAGTGTTTTCCAACTTGGTTCCATTCTCCCCGTCACTTTCAGGTACACCAATCAGACGTAGATTTGGTGGTTTCACATAGTCCCATATTTCTTGGAGGCTTTACTCATTTCTTTTTATTCTTTTTTCTCTAAATTTCCTTTCTTGCTTCATTTCATCCACTTCATCTTCCATTGCTGATACCCTTTCTTCCAGTTGATCACATCAGCTCCTGAGGCTTCTGCATTCTTCACGTACTTCTCGAGCCTTGGCTTTCAGCTCCATCAGCTCCTTTAAGCACTTCTCTGTGTTGGTTTTTCTAGTTATACATCCTTCTAAAATTTTTTCAACGTTTTCAACTTCTTTGCCTTTGGTTTGAATGTTCTCCTGTAGCTCAGAGTAATTTGATCGTCTGAAGCCTTCTTCTCTCAGTTAGTCAAAGTCCTTCTCCGTCCAGCTTTGTTCCGTTGCTGGTGAGGAACTGCATTCCTTTTGAGGAGGAGAGGCGCTCTGCTTTTTAGATTTTCCGGTTTTTCTGCTCTGTTTTTTCCCCAACTTTGTGGTTTTATGTACTTTTGGTCTTTCATAATAGTGATGTACTGATGGGTTTTTGCTGTGGATGTCCTTTCTGTTTGTTAGTTTTCCTTCTAACAAACAGGACCCTCAGCTGCACGTCTGTTGGAGTACCTGGCCATGTGAAGTGTCAGTCTGCCCCTGCTGGGTGGGTGCCTCCCAGTTAGGCTGCTCAGGGTTCAGGGGTCAGGACCCCACTTGAGGAGGCAGTCTGCCCATGCTTAGATCTCCAGCTGCGTGCTGGGAGAACCACTGCTCTCTTGAAAGCTGTCAGACAGGGACATTTAAGTCTGCAGAGGTTACTGCTGTCTTTTTGTTTGTCTGTGTCCTGCCCCCAGAGGTGGAGCCTACAGAGGCAGGCAGGCCTCCTTGAGCTGTGGTGGGCTCCACCCAGTTCGAGCTTCCCAGCTGCTTTGTTTACCTAAGCAAGCCTGGGCAATGGCGGGTGCCCCTCCCCTAGCCTCGCTGCCTCCTCGCAGTTTGATCTCAGACAGCTGTGCTAGCAATCAGTGAGACTCCATGGGCGTAGGACCCTCCGAGCCAGGTGCGGGATATAATCTCTTCGTGTGGCGTTTTTTAAGCCCATGGGAAAAGCACAGTATTCGGGTGGGAGTGACCTGATTTCTAGGTGCTCTCTGTCACCCCTTTCTTTGACTAGGAAAGGGAAATCCCTGACCCCTAGTCCTTCCAGAGTGAGGCAATGCCTCGCCCTGCTTTGGCTCGTGCATGGTGCACTCACCCACTGACCTGCTCCTACTGTCTGGCACTCACTGGTGAGATGAACCTGGTACCTCAGATGGAAATGCAGAAATCACCCATCTTCCGCGTCACTCACACAGGGAGCTGTAGTCCGGAGCTGTTCCTATTCGGCCATCTTGTTTCCTCTCCCGGAACACTCTCTTTGTAGAATCTGCAAGTGGACATTTGGAGCGCTTTCAGGACTATGTTGGGTAACAAAATATCTTCATATAATAACTAGACAGAAGCCTTCTAAAAACCTTCTTTGTTATGTGTGCATTCATCCCACAGAGTTGAACCTTTCTTTTGATTTAGCAGTTTGGAAGCACTCTTTTTGTAATATCTGCAAGTGGACGTTTTGTGCACTTTTAGGCCTATGGTAAAAAGGAAATATCTTCACATAAAAACTAGGCAGGAAGATTCTGACAACCTTCTTTGCGATATGTGCATTCATCTCACAGAGTTGATCCTTACTTTTGATTTAGCTGTTTTGAAGCCCCCTTTTGGTACAATCTGTGATTGGACATTTGGAGTGCTTTGAAGCCTTTGGTGGAAAAGGAAATATCTTCACATAAGAACTAGACAGAAGCATTCTGACAAACTTCTTTGTGACGTGTGCATTCATCTCACAGTGTTGAACATTTATTTTGATTGAGCTGCTTGAAAACCTCTTTTACTGAAGTCTGCAAGAGGACATTTCTAGCGCTTTGAGGCCTATGGTAGAAAAGGAAATATCTTCACATAAAATCTAAACAGACACATTCTGACAAACATCTTTGTGATGTGTGCATTCATCTCACAGAGTTGAACATTACTTTTGATTGAGCAGTTTTGAAACACTCTCTTTGTAGAATCCACAAGTGGACATTTGGAGCTCTTTGAGGCCTATGGTGGATAACGAAATATCTTCGTATAATAAAGAGAAAGAAGCATTCTGAGAAACTTCTTTGTGATGTGTGCACTCATCTCACAGACTTGACCTTACTTTTGATTTAGCAGTGTGGAAACACTCTTTTTGTAGAATCTGCAAGTGGACATATGGAGCACTTTGAGGCCTATGGTAGAAAAGGAAATATCTTCACATAAAATATAGACAGAAGCAATCTTGGAAATTTCTTTGTTATGTGTGCATTCATCCCACAGAGTTAAACCTTTCTTTAGATTGAGCAGTTTTGAAACTCTCTTGTATTATCTACAAGTGGACTTTTTGAGTGCTTTGTGACCTATGGTGAAAAGGAATTAACTTTACATATATTCTACAAGAAGCAATCTGAGAAACTTCTTTGTGATGTGTGCACTCATCTCACAGAGTTAAACCTTTGTTTAGTTTGAGCAGTTTTGGAACAGTCTTTTTGTAGAATCTGCAAGTGGACACTTGTGCTTTGAGGCCTATAGTGGAAAAGGAAGTATCTTCACATAAAAACTAGAAAGAAGAATTCTGAGAAACTTCTTTATGATGTGTGCATTCATCTCACAGAGTTGAACCTTTCTTTTGATTGAGCAGTTTGGAAACACCCTTTTGGCAGAATCTGAAAGTGGACATTTGGAGAGCTTTGCAGCCTATGGTGGAAAAGGAATTATCTTCATGTAAAATCTAGACAGAAGAAATCTGAGAAACTTCTTTGTGACGTGTGCATTCATCTCACAGAGTTAAACATTTCTTTTGATTGAGCAGTTTTGAAACTCTCTTTTTGTAGAATCTGCAAGTGGACATTTGGAACACTTGGGGCCTATGGCAGAGGAGGAAGTATCTTCACATAAAAACTAGACAGAAAATTTTGTAAAACTTCTTTGTGACGTGTGCATTCATCTCACAGAGCTGAAGCTTTCCTTTGATTATGCAGTTTGAAAGCACTCTTTTTATAGAATCTGCAAGTGGACATTTGGAGTGATTTGAAGCCTGTGGTAGAACTGGAAATATCTGGACATAAAATCTGGACAGAAGCCATCTGAGAAACTTCTTTGTGATGTGTGCTATCATCTCACAGTGTTAAACTTTTCTTTTGGTTGAGCAGTTTTGAAAATCTCTCTTTGTAGAATCTGCAAGTCGGCATTTGGAGCTCTTTGAGGCCTATGGTGGAAAAGGAAATATCTTCACATAAAAACTAAGTAGAAGTATTCCAAGAAACTTCTTTGTGATGAGTGCTTTCATCTCCCATATTGAACCTTTCTTTTGATGGAGCAGTTTTGAAGTACTCTTTTGGTAGAATCTGCAACTGGACATTTCGAGTGCCTTGAGGACAATGGTGGAAAATGAAATATCTTCACATAAAAACATCATCACATGAAAAACTCAGAAGAATTCTGAGACACTTCTTTGTGATGTGTGCATTCATCTCACAGAGTTGAAACTTCCTTTTGATTGAGCAATTTGCAAACACTCTTTTTGTAGTATCCACAAATGAACATTTTGAGCGCTTTGCGACCTATAGTAGAAAAGGAAATGTCATCACATTAAATCTAGACAGAAGCAATCTGAGAAACTTCTTTGTGATGCGTGCATTCATCTCACAGAGTTAATCATTTCTTTTGATAGTGCAGTTTTGAAACTCTCTTTTTGTAGAATCTGCAAGTGAACATTTGGAGCGCTTTGAGGCCTATGGTGGAATAGGTAATCTCTTCAGATAAAAACTAGACAGAAGTACTCTGACAAACTTTTTGGTGATTTGTGTGTTCATCTCACAGATTTGAAGCCTTCTTTGAGCAGTTTTGAAACACTCTTTTTGTAGAATCTGTAAGTAGACATTTGGAGCTCTTTGCAGCCATAGGTAGAAAAGGAAATATCTTCACATAAAATCCAGACAGAAGCAATCTGAAAATCTCTCTGATGTGTGCATTCATCTCACAGAGTTAACCCTTTCTTTTGATTGAGCAGTTTTGAAACTCTCTTTTTGTAGAATCTGCAAGTGGACATTTGGAGCACTTGGGGCCTATGGCGGAGGAGGAAGTATCTTCACATAAACACTAGATAGAAGCATTCTGAGAAACTACTTTATGATGTGTCTATTCATCTCCCAGAGTTGAATCTTTCTTTTGATGGACCAGTTTTGAAATACTCTTTTTGTAGTATCTGCAAGTGGACTTTTGGAGTGCCTTGAGGCTTAAGGGGGAAAATGAAATATCTTCACATAAAAACTAGACAGAAGAATTCTGAGAAACTTCTTTGTTATGTGTGAGTTCATCTCACAGAGTTGAAACTTTCTTTTGATTCAGCAGTTTGGAACCACTCTTTTTGTAGAATCTGCACGTGGACATTTGGAGCTCTTTGCGGCCTATGGTAGAAAAGGAAATATCTTCACATAAAATCAAGACTGAAGCAATCTGAGAAACTTCTTTGTGATGTTTGCATTCATCTCTCAGAGTTAAACCTTTTTTTTGATGGACCAGTTTTGAAATTCTCTTTTTATAGGATCTGCAAGTGGACAATTCGAGTGCCTGGAGGCCTTTGGTGAAAAACGAAATATCTTTACATAAAAACTAGAGAGAAGAATTCTGAGAAACTTCTTTGTGATATAAACATTCCTCTCACAGAGTTAAACCTTTCTGTTGATTGAGCCGTTTAGAAACACTCTTGTTGTAGAATCTACAAGAGGACATTGGAGTGCTTCGTGGCCTATGGTAGAAAAGGAAATATCTTCACATAAAATCTAGACAGAAGCAACCTGAGAAACTTCTTTGTAATGTGGGAATTCATCTCACAGAGTTAAAACTTTCTTTTGATTGAGCAGTTTTGAAACTCTCTTTTTCTAGAATCTGCAAGTGGACATTTGGAACGCTTTGAGGCCTATGGTGGAAAAGGAAATAACTTCACATACAATCTTGACAGAAGCAATCTGAGAAACTGCTTTGTGTTGTGTGCATTCACCTCACAGAATTAACCCTTTCTTTAGATTGAGTAGTTTTGAAACTCTCCTTTTGTAGAATCTGCAAGGGGACATTAGGAGTGCTTTGAGGCCTATGGTGGAAAAGGAAATATATTCACATAAAAAGTAGATTGAAGCATTCCAATAAAGTTCTTTGTGATGTGTGCATTCATCTCCCAGTGTTGAACCTTTCTTTTGATGGAAAAGTTTTGAAATACTCTTTTTGTAGAATCTGCAAGTAGACATTTGGAGCACTTTGAGGCCTATGGTGGAAAGGGAAGTATCTTTACATAAAAACTAGACAAAAAATACTGGGGAACTACCTTGTGATGTGTGCATTTATCTCACAGATTTGAAACTTTCTTTTGATTGAGCAGTTTGGAAAAATTCTTTTTGTGGAATCTGCAAGTGGACATTTCGAGCTCTTTGCAGATTATGGCAGCAAAGAAAATAACTTCACATAAAATCTATGCAGAAGCAATATGAGAAATTCCTTTGGGATGTGTGCCTTCATCTTACAGAGTTAACCATTATTTTGATTGAGCAGTTTTGAAACTCTCTTTTTGTAGAATCTGCAAGTGGACATTTGGAGCGTTTTGAGTCCTATGGTGAAAAAGGAAGTATCTTCACATAAAAACTAGATAGAAGAATTCTGAGAAATTTCTTTATGACGTGTGTGTTCACCTCACACAGTTGAAACTTTCTTTTGATTGAGCAGTTTGGAAACACTGCTTTTATAGAGTATCTGCAAGTGGACATTAGGAGCACTTTACGGTCTATGGTAGAAAAGGAAATGTATTCACATAAAATCTAGACAGAAGCAATACAAGAAACTACTTTGTGATGAGTGCATTCATCTCACAGAGTTAAACCTTTGTTTTTATAGAGCAGTTTTGAAACTCTCTTTTTGTAGATTCTGCTAGTGGACATTTGGAGCACTTTGAGGTCTATGGTGGAAAAGGAAATATCTTCACGTGAAATCTAGACAGAAGCAATCTGAGAAACTTCTTTGTGATGTGTGCATTCATCTCACTGAGTTAATCCTTTCTTTCGATTGAGCAGTTCTGAAACACTTTTTTTATAAAATCTGCAAGTGGACATTTGTAGGGCTCTCAGGCCTATGGTGGAAAAGCAAATATCTTCACATAAAAACTAGATAGAAGCATTCAGAGATACTTCTTTGTGATGTGTACATTCATCTCCAAGAGTTGAAACTTTCTTTTGAAGGACCAGTTTTGGAATACTGTTTTTGTAGAATCTGCAAGTGGACATTTGGAGGGCTTTGAGGACTAAGGTGGAAAAGGAAATATCTTCACATAAAAACTAGACAGAAGAATTCTGAAAAACTTCTTTGTGATGCGTGCGTTCATCTCACAGAGTTGAACCTTTCTTTTGATTGAGCAGTTTGGAAACCCTCTTTTTGGAGAAACTGCCAGTGGACATTTGGAGCACGTGGTGGCCTATGGTAGAAAGGAAAATATCTTCATGTAAAGTCTAGACAGAGGCAATCTTAGAAACTTCTTTGTGAAGTGGGCATTCATCTGATGGAGTTAAACCTTTCTTTTGATTGAGCAGTTTTGAAACTCTCTTTTTGTGGGATCTGCAAGTGGACATTTGGAGCGCTTTGAGTCCTATGATGGAAAAGGAAATATTCTCACATAAAAACTAGACAGAAGTATTCTGAGAAACTTCTTTTTCATGCGTGCATTCATCTCAAAGAGTTGAACTTTTCTTTTGATTGAGGAGTTTGGAAACACTTTATTTTGTAGAATCTTCAGGTGGACATTTGGAGCGTTTTGTAGCCTATGGTAGAAAAGGAAATATCTACACATAAAATCTAGACAGAAGCTATCTGAAAAAGTTCTTTGTGATGTGTGCATTCATACTCCAGAGTTAAACCTTTCTTTTGATTGAGCAGTTTTGAAACTCCCTTTTTGTGTAATCTGCAAGTGGACTTTTGGAGGGCTTTGAGGCCGATGGTGGAAAAGGAAATATCTTCAATAAAAACTAGATAGAACTATTCTGAATAACTTCTTCATGATGTGTGCATTAATCTCCCAGAGTTGAACCTTTCTTTTAATGGACCAATTATGAAATACTCCTTTTGTAGAATATGCAAGTGGACATTTCGAGCACCTTGAGGCCTATAGAGGGAAAATAAATACTTTCGCATAAAAACGAGACAGAAGAAATCTGAGAAACTGCTTTGTAATTTGTGCATTCATATCACAGAGTTGAATCTTTCTTTTGATTTTGCAGTTTGGAAACTCTCTTTTTATAGAATCTGCTGGTGGACATTTGGTGCGCTTTGGGGTCTATGGTAGAAAAGGAAATCTCTTCACTGAAAATCTAGACAGAAGCAACCTGACAAACTTCCTTGTGATGTGTGCTTTCGTCTAAGAGAGTTAAACCTTTCTTTTGATTGAGGAGTTTTGAAACTCTCTTTTTGTAAAATCTGCAAGTGGATATTTGGAACTCTTGAGGCCTTGGGTGGAAAAGGAAATATCTTCACATAAAAACTAGACTGAGGAGTTCTGAGAAACTTCTTTGTGATGTGTGCATTCATCTCACAGAGTTCAAAGTTTGTTTTCATGGAGCAATTTGGAAACATTCTTTTTGTAGAATCTTCAAGTGGACATTTTGAGGGCTTTGAGGCCTGTGGTGGAAAAGGAAATATCTTCACATGAAAACTACAGAGAAGAATTCTGTGAAACTTTTTTTCTGATGCGTGCGTTCATCTCACACAGATGAAACTTCCTTTTGATTGAGAAGTTTGGAGACACTCTTTCTGTAGAATCTGCAAGTGGACATTTGGAGCCCTTTGCAGCCTATGGTAGAAAAGGAAATATCTTCATATAAATCTCTGCCAAAGCAACCTGAGAAACTTCTTTTGATGTGTACATTCATCTCACAGATTCAAACCTTTCTTTTGGTTGAGCAGTTTGGAAACAATCATTTGTAGGATCTGCAAGTGGACATTTGGAGTGCTTTGCGGCCTATGGTAGAAAAGGAAATATCTTCACATAAAATCTAGAAAGAAGCAATCTGAGAAACTTCTTTCTGATGTGTGCATTCGTGTCACAGAGTTAAAACTTTCTTTAAATTGAGCAGTTTTGAAACTCTCTTTTTGTAGATTCTGCAAGTGGATGTTTAGAGCGATTTGATGCCTATGGTGGAAAAGAAAATATCTTCAAATTAAAACTAGACAGAAGAATTCTGAAAAACTACCTTGAGACGTGTGCATTCATCTCACAAAGTTCAAAGTTTCTTTTCATGGAGCAGTTTGGAAAAACTCTTTTTCTAGAATCTGCAAGTGGATATTTGGAAGGCTTTGAGGCCTACGGTGGAAAAGAAAATATCTTCAAATGAAAACTAGAGAGAAAAATTCTGTGAAACTTCTTTCGATGCATGCGTTCATCTCACACAGATGAACCTTTCTTTTGATTGAGCAGTTTAGAAACACTCTTTCTGTAAGATCTGCAAGTGGACATTTGGAGCTCTTTGCGGCCTCTTGCAGAAAAGGAAATATCTTCATATAAATCTTGGCCGAAGCAATCTGAGAAACTTCTTTGTGATGTGTGTATTCATCTCACAGACTTAAACCTTTCCTGTGATTGAACAGTTTGAAACTCTCTTTTTGTGGAATATGCTAGTGGACATTTGGATCGCTTTGAGGCCTATGGTGGAAAAGGAAATATCTTCACATGGAAACTAGACAGAAAAATTCTGAGAAACTTCTTTGTGATGTGTGGGTTCATCTCCCTGAGTGAAACCTTTCTTTTGATGGACCAGTTTTCAAATACTGTTTTTGTAGGATCTGCAAGTGGACATTTCAAGCCTCTTGAGGCCTACAGTGGAAAAGGAAATATCTTCGCATAAAAACTAGACAGAGGAATTCTGAGAAACATCCTTGTGTTGTGTGCATTCATCTGACAGAGTTGACCCTTTCTTTTGATTGAGTAGTTTGGAAACTGAGGGCTTTGAGGACTAAGGTGGAAAAGGAAATATCTTCACATAACAACTAGACAGAAGAATTCTGAAAAACTTCCTTGTGATGCGAGCATTCATCTCACAGAGTTGAACCTTTCTTTTGACTGAGCAGTTTGGAAGCACTCTTTTTGTAAAATCTGCAGTGGACATTTGGAGCACGTGGTGGACTATGGTAGAAAGGGAAATATCTTCATATAAAGTCTAGACAGAAGTAATCTGAGAAACTTCTTTTTAAAGTGGGCATTCATCTGACAGAGTTAAACCTTTCTTTTGATTGAACAGTTTTGAAACTCTCTTTTTGTAGAACCTGCAAGTGGACATATGGAGCGCTTTGAGACCTATGATGGAAAAGGAAATATTCTCACATAAAAACTAGACAGAAGTATTCTGAGAATCTTCTTTTTGATGTGTGTGTTCATCTCAAAGAGTTGAACTTTCTTTTCATTGAGGAGTTTGGAAACATTTTATTTTGTAGTATCTGCAGGTGGACATTTGGAGCTTTTTGCAGCCTATGGTAGAAAAGGAAATATCTACACATAAAATCTAGACAGAAGCTATCTGAAAAACTTCTTTGTGATGTGTGCATTCATATTCCAGAGTTAAAACTTTCTTTTGATTGAGCAGTCTTGAAACTCCCTTTTTGTGTAATCTGCAAGTGGACATTTGGAGGGCTTTGAGGCCGATGGTGAAAAAGGAAATATCTTCAATAAAAACTATACAGAAGCATTCTGAATAACTTCTTCATGATGTGTGCATTAATCTCCCAGAGTTGAACCTTTCTTTTAATGGACCAATTATGAAATACTCCTTTTGTAGAATATGCAAGTGGACATTTCGAGCACCTTGAGGCCTATAGAGGGAAAATAAATACTTTCACATAAAAACGAGACAGAAGAATTCTGAGAAACTTCTTTGTGATTTGTGCATTCATATCACAGAGTTGAACCTTTCTTTTGATAGAGCAGTTTGGAAACCCTCTTTTTGTAGAATCTGCCAGTGGACATTTGGTGCCCTTTGCGGCCTTTCATAGAAAAGGAAATCTCTTCACAGAAAATCTAGACAGAAGCAATCTGAGAAACTTCTTTGTGATGTGTGCATTCATCTCACAGAGTGAAACCTTTCTTTTGATGGAGTAGTTTTGAAACTCTCTTTTTGTAGAATCTGCAAATTGACATTAGGAGCGCTTTGAGGCCTATGGTGGAAAAGGAAATATGTTCACATAAAAATTAGACAGAAGCATTCTGAGAAACTTCTTTGTGATGTGTGCATTAATCTCCCAGAGTTGAACCTTTCTTTTGATGGACTAATTTTGAAATACTGTTTTTGTAGGATCTGCAAGTGGACATTTCAAGTGCCTTGAGGCCTGCAGCGGAAAAGGAAATATCTTCACATTAAAAACTAGAGAGAATAATTATGATAAACTTCTTTGTGATGTGTGCATTCATCTCAAAGAGTTTAACCTTTCTTTTGATGGACCAGGTTTGAAATACTCCTTTTGTAGAATTTGCCAGGGCGCATTTTGAGCGCCTTGAGGCCTATGGTAGAAAATGAAATATCTTCATATAAAATCTTGACAGAAGCAATCTTATAAACTTCTTTGTGATGTGTGCATTTATCTCACTGAGTGAAACCTTTCTTCTGATTGAGCAGTTTTGAAACTCTCTTTTTGTTGAATCTGCAATTGGACATTGGGAGCGCTTTGAGGCCTAAGATGGAAAAGGAAATATCTTCACATAAAAATTAGACAGAAGAATTCTGAGAAACTTCTTTGTAATGTGTATGTTCATTTCACAGAGTTGAAACTTTGTTTTGATAGAGCAGTTTTGAAACACTCTTATTGTAAAATCTGCATGTGGACATTTGGAGCACTTTGCGTCCTATGGTAGAAAAGGAACTATCTTCACATAAAATCTAGACAGAAGCAATCTGAGAAAATTATTTGTGATGTGTGCATTTATCTCACAGAGTGAAACCTTTCTTTTGATTGAGCAGTTTTAAAACTCTCTTTTTGTAGGATCTGCAAGTGGACATTTGGAGCGCCTTGAGGCCTATGATGGAAAAGGAAACATCTTCACATAAAAAATAAACAGAAGAATTCTGAGAAACTTCTTTTTTATGTGTGCGTTCTTCTCACAGTGTTGAACCTTTGTTTGAGCAATTTGGAAACACTCTTTTTGCAGAATCTGCAAGTGGACATTTGGAGTGCTTTGTGGTCTATGGTAGAAAAGGAAATATCTTTACACACAATCTAGACAGAAGTAATCTGAGAATCTTCTTTGTGATGTGTGCATTCATCTCACAGAGTTAAACCTTTCTTTTGATTGAGCAGTTTTGAAACTCTCTTTTTGTAGAATCTGCAATTGGACATTTGGAGGGCTTTGGGGCCTATGGTGGAAAAGTAAATATCTTCACATAAAAACAAGATAGAAGCATTCTGAGAACTTCTTTGTGATGTGTGCATTCGTCTCCCAGAGTTGAACCTTTCTTTTGATGGACCAGTTTTCAAATACTGTTTTTGTAGGATCTGCAGATGGACATTTCGAGCGCCCTGAGGCCTATGGTGGAAAAGGAAATATCTTCACATAGAAACCAGAGAGAAAAATTCGGAGAAACTTCTATGTGATGTGTGCATTCAACTCAAAGAGTTGAACCTTTCTTTTGATGGGCCAGGTTTGAAATACTCCTTTTGTAAAATCTGCCAGGGGTCATTTCAAGTGCCTTGAGGCCTATGTTGGAAAATGAAATATCTAGACAGAAGAATTCTGAGAAAGTTTTTCGTGATGCATGTGTTCATCTCACAGAGTTGAACCTTTCTTCTGACTGAGCAGTTTGGAAACACTGTTTTTGTAGAATCTGCAAGGGGATATTTGGAGCCCTTTTCATTCTATGGTGGAAAAGGAAATAACTTCACATAAAATCTAGACAGAAACAATCTGAGAAACCTTTTGTGATGTGTGCGTTCATCTCACAGAGTTAAACCTTTCTTTTGATTGAGGAGTTTTCAAAATCTCTTTTTATACAATCTGCAATTGGACATTTGGAGCCCTTTGAGGCCTGTGGTTGAAACGGAAATATCTTCACGTAAAAACTAGACAGAAGAATCCTGAGAAACTTATTTGTAATTTGTGCATTCATCTGACAGAGTTAAACATTTCTTTTGATTAAGCAGTTTTGAAATAAACTTTTTGTGGAATCTGAAAGTGGACCTTTCAAGCACCTTGACGCCTATGGTGGAAAATGAAATATCTTCACACAAAAACTAGACAGAAAAATTCTGAGAAACTTCTTTGTGATGTGTGCATTTATCTCACAGAGTTAACCGTTTCTTTTGATTGAGAACTTTGGAAACTCTCTTTTTGCAAAACCTGCAAGTGGACATTTGGAGCGCTTTGAGGCTTATGGTGGGAAAGGAAATATCTTCAAGTAAAAACTAGATAGAAGCATTCTGAGAAACTTCTTTGTGATGTGTGCATTCATCTCCCAGAGTTGAACCTTTCTCTTGATGGACCAGTTCTGAAATACTCTTTTTGTAGAATCTACAAGGGGACATTTCGATCGCCTTGAGGCCTCTGGTCCAAAAGGAAATATCTTCACATTAGAACTAGACAGAAGAATTCTGAGAAACTTCTTTGTGATGTGTGCGTTCCTCTCACAGAGTTAACCTTTCTTTTGATTGAGCAGTTTGGAAACACTCTTTTTGTAGAATCTACAGGTGGACATTTGGAGCAGTTTGCAAAGTATGGTAGAAAAGGAAATATCATCACATAAAATCTAGACAGAAGAAATCTTAGAAACTTCTTTGTGAAGTGTGTGTTCATCTCACAGATATAAACCTTTCTTTTGATTGAGCAGTTTTGAAACTCTCTTTTTGTAGAATTTGCAAGTGGAAATTTTGATCACTTTGAGACCTATCATGGAAAAGGAAATGTCTTCACATAAAAACTAGACAGAAGTATTTTGAGAAACTTCTTGGTGATGCGAGCATTCATCTCACAGAATTGAACCTTTCTTTTGATTGAGCACTTTTGAAACATTCTTTTTGTAGAATCTGCAAGGGGACATTATAAGTGCTTCGGGTTCTATGGTAGAAAAGGAAATAACTTCACATAAAATCTAGACAGAAGCAATCTGAGAAACTTTTTGTGATGTGTGCATTCATCTCACAGAGTTAAACCTTCCTTTTGATTGAGAAGTTTTGGAAGTCTCTTTTCGTAGAATCTGCAAGTGGACATTTGGAGAGCTTTTAGGCCTATGGATCACATAAAAAGTAGACAGAAGAATTCTGAGAAAATTCTTTGTGATGCCAACGTTCATCTGACAGAGTTGAACCTTTCTTTTGATTGAGAAGATGGGGAACACTCTTTCTTTTAGTAGAATCTGCAAGTGAGCATATGGAGCACTTTGCGGCCTATGGTAGAAAAGGAATTATCTTCACATAAAATCTAGACAGAAGCAATCTGAGGAAGCTTTTCTTTTTGTGTGCATTCATCTCACAGAGTTAAACATTTCTTTCGATTGAGCAGTTTTAAAACTCTCTTTTTATAAAATCTGCATGTGGACATTTGGAGCGCCTCGAGGCCTATGGTGCAAAGGAAAATATATTCACATAAAAACTAGAGGGAAGCATTCTGAGCAACCTCTTGGTGATGTGTGCATTCATTTCCCAGAGTTGAACCTTTCTATTGATGGACCAGTTTTGTAATAATCTTTTTGTAGAACTTGAATTTGGTCATTTGGAGTTCCTTGAGGCCTATTGTGGAAAATGAAATATCTTCACAACAAAACTAGAAAGAAGTATTCTGAGCAACTTCTATGTGATGTGTTTGTTCATCCCACAGAGCTGAACCATTTTTTAGATTGAGAAATTTGGAAACCATCTTTTTGTAGAATCTGCAAGTGGACATTTGGAGCGCTTTCTCACCTATGGTAGAAAAAGGACTATCTTCACATAAAATCTAGACATAAGCAATCAGAGAAACTTCTTTGTGATTTGTGCATTCACCTCAGAGAGTTAAACCTTTCTTTTGATTGAGGAGTTTTGAAACTCTCTTTTTGTACAATCTGCAAGTGGATATTTGGAGGGCTTTAAGGCCTCTGTTGGAAAAGGAAATATCTTCACATAAAAACTAGACAGAATAATTCTGAGAAACTTCTTTGTGATGTGTGCATTCATTTCACAGAGTTGAACCTGTCTTTTGATTGAGCAGTTTGGAAACTCTCTTTTTGTGGATCTGCAAGTGGACATTTGTAGTGCTTTGGGGTTTATGGTAGAAAAGGAAATATCTTCACATAAAATCCAGACAGAAGCAACCTGAGAAACTTGCTTGGATGTGTGCATTCATCTAAGAGAGTTAAACCTTTCTTTTGATTGAGGAGTTTTGAAACTCTCTTTTTGTAAAATCTGCAAGTGGCCATTTGGAGCACTTTGAGCCCTATGGTGAAACCGAAATATCTTCACATAAAAACTAGACAGAAAAATTCTGAGAAACTTCTTTGTGATGTGTGCAATCATCTCACAGAATTGAAACTTTCTTTTGATTGAGCACTTTGGAAACACTCTTTTTGTAGAATCTGCAAGTGGACATTTGGAATGCTTTGTGGCCTATGTTAGAAAAGGAAATATCTTCACATAAAATCTAGACAGAAGCAATCTGAGAAACTTCTTTGTGATGTGTGCATTCATCTAACAGAGTTAAACCTTTCTTTTGGTTGAGCAGTTTTGAAAATCTCTTTTCGTAGAATTTGCAAGTGGACATTTGGAGCATTTTGAGACCTGTGGTGCAAAAGGAAATATCTTCACATAAAAACTAGACAGAAGAATTCTGGGAAACTTCTTTGTGATGTGTGTGTTAATCTCACAGAGTTGAAACTTTCTTTTGATTGAGCAGTTTGGAAAAACTCTTTTTGTAGAATCTGCAAATGAACATTTGGTGCGCTTTGCAGCCAATGACAAAAACGGAATATCTACACATCAAATTTAGAAAGAAGCAATCTGAGAAACTTCTTTTTGATGTGTGCATTCCTCTCACAGAGTTAACCCTTTCTTTTGATTGAGAAGTTTTGAAACTCTCTTTTTGTAGAATCTGCAGGTGGACATTTGGAGCACTTTTAGGCCTATGGTAGAAAAGGAAATGTCTTCACATAAAAACTTGATAGAAGCATTCTGACAAACTTCCTTGTGATATGTGCATTCATCTCCCAGAGCTGAAACATTCTTTCAAAGGACCAGTTTTGAAATACTCTTTTTATAGAATGTGCAAGTGGACATTTCGAGCACCTTGAGGCCTATGTTTGAAAAGGAAATATCTTCGCATAAAAACTAGACAGAAGAATTCCGAGAAACTGCTTTGTGATGTGTGCTTTCATCTCACAGAATTGAACTTTTCTTTTGATTCAGCAGTTTGGAAACACTCTTTATGTAAAATCAGCAAGTGGACATTTGGAGTGCTTTGTGGCCTATGATAGAAAAGGAAATATTTTCACATAAAATCTATACTGAAACAATCTGAGAAACTTCTTTGTAATGTGTGCATTCATCTCACAGAGTTAAACCTTTCTTTTGATTGAGCATTTTAGAAACTCTCTTTTTGCAGAATCTGCAGGTGGACATTTGGAGCACTCTGAATCCTATGTTGGAAAAGGAAATGACATCACATAAAAACTAAACAGAAGAATTCTAAGAAACTTCTTTGTGATGTGTGAGTTCATCTCACAGAGTTGAGTCTTTCTTTTTGTTGAGCAGTTTGGAAATACTCTTTTTGTAGAATCTACAGGTGGACAATTAGAGCACTTTGTGTCCCATGGTAGAAAAGTAAATAACTTCACATAAAATCTAGACAAAAGCAATGTGAGAAACTTACTTGTGATGTGTGCATTCATCTCAGAGTTACACCTTTCTTTTGATTGATCAGTTTTGAAACTCTCTTTTTGTAGAATCTTCAAGTGAACAATTGGAGCGCTTTGAGGCCCATGGTACAGAAGGAAATATCATCACATAAAAACTAGACAGAAGAATTCTGAGAAACTTCTTTGTGATGTGTGCGTTCATCTCAACAGAGTTGAACCTTTCTTTTGATTGAGCAGTTTGGAAACACTCTTTTTGTAAAATCTGCACGTGCACATTTGGAGAGCTATGCGGTCTATGGTAGAAAAGGAAATATCTTCGCATAAAATCTAGACAGAAGTAGTCTGAGAATATTCTTTCTGATGTGTGCATTCTTCTCACGGAGTGAAACTTTTCCTTTGATTGAGCAGTTTCGAAACTCTCTTTTTGTAGAATCTGCAAGTGGACATTTGGAGCGCTTTTCAGCCTATGTTAGAAAAGGAAGTATTTTCACTTAAAATCTAGACAGAAGCAATCTGAGAAACGTCTTTGTGATGTTTGTATTCATCTTACATAGTTAAACCTTTCTTTTGATTGAGCAGTTTTGAAACTCTCTTTTTGTCGAATCTGTAAGAGGACATTTGGAGTGTTTTCAGGCCTATGGTGAAAAAGGAAGCATCTTCTCATAAAAACTAGACAGAAGAATTCAGACAAACTTCTTTGTGATGTATGCATTTATCTCACAGAGTTGAACCTTTCTTTTGATTGAGCAGTTTGAAACACTCTTTTTGTAGAATCTGCAAGTGGATATTTGGAGCACGTGGAGGCCTATGGTGGAAATGGAAATGTCTTCACACTAAAAACTAGACAGAAGAATTCTGAGAAACTTCTTTGTGATGTTTGCATTCATCTCACAGAGTTGAACCTTTGTTTTCATTGAGCAGTTTGAAAACACTCTTGTTGTAGAATTGGCAAGTGGACATTTGGAACGCATTGCAGTCTATGATGGAAAAGGAAATATCTCCACATAAAATCTAGACAGAAGCAATCTGAGAAACTTCTTTGTGATGGGTGCTTTCATCTCACAGAGTTAAAACTTTCTTTTGATTGAAAAGTTTTGAAACTCTCTTTTTATAGTATCTGTAAGTGGACATTTGGAGCGTTTTGCAGCCTATGGTAGGAAAGGAAATATCTTCATATAATATCTAGACAGAAGCAATCTGAGAAACTTCTTTTGATTTGTTCATTCATCTCACAGACGTAAACCTTTCTTTTGATACAGCAGTTTTGAAACTCTCTTTTTGTAGAATCTGCAAGTGGACATTTAGAGCGCTTTGAGCCCTATGATGGAAAAGGTAATATCTTCACATAAAAGCAAGACAGAAGTATTCTGACAAATTTCTTTGTGATGTGCGCATTCATCTCACAGAGTTGAACATTTCTTTTGATTGATCAGTTTGGAAACAATCTTTTTGTGGAATCTGCAAGTGTACATTTGTAGCGCTTTTCAGCCTATTGGTACAAAAGGAAATATCTTCACATAAAATCTAGAAAGTAGCAATCTGAGAAACTTCTTTTTGATGTGTGCATTCGCCTCATGGAGTTAAACCTTTCTTTTGATTGGGCAATTTTGAAACTCTATTTTTGTAGAATCTGCAAGTGGACATTTTGTGCACTTTCAGGCCTGTGGAGGAAAAGGAAATATCTTCACAGAAAGACTAGACAGAAGAATTCTGAGAAACTTGTGTGATGCATGTGTTCATCTCACAGAGTTGAACCTTTCTTTCGATTAAGCAGTTTGGAAACACTCTTTCTAGAATCTGCAAGTGGACATTTGCAGTGCTTTGTGGCATGTGGTAGAAAAGGGAATATCATCACAAAAAATCTCGACAGAAGCAATATTAGAAACTTCTTTGTGATGTGTGCATTCTTCTCACAGAGTTAACGCTTTCTTTTGATTGAACAATTTTGAAACTCTCTTTTTGTAGTATCTGCAAGTGGACATTTGGGGCGCTTTGAGGCCTATTGTGGTAAAGGAGATATGTTCACATAAAAACTAGATAGAAGCATTCTGAGAAACTGCTTTGTGATGTGCACATTCATTTCCCACAGTTGAATCTTTCCTTTGATTGACCAGTTTTGAAATACTGTTTTTGTAGAATCTGCAAGTGAACGTTTCCAGTTCCTTGAGGCCTGTTGTGGAAAATGAAATATCTTCACATAAAAACTAGACATAAGAACTCTGAGAAACTACTTTGTGATGTGTGCATTCATCTCACAGAGTTGAACCTTTCTGTTGATTGAGCAGTTTGGAAACACTCTTTTTGTAGAATCTGCAAGTGGACATTTGGAGCGCTTTGTGGCCTATGGTAGAAAAGGAAATGTATTCACATAAAATCTAGACAGAAACAATCTGAGAAACTTCTTTGGATGTGTGCATTCATCTCACAGAGTTAAACCTTTCTTTTGATTGAGCAGTTTTGAAAATCTCTTTTTGTAGAATCTGTAAGTGGACATTTGGAGGGCTTTGAGGCCAATGGTGGAATAGGAAATATCTTCCCATCAATAGTAGACAGAAGAATTCTGAGAAACTTTTTTGTGATGTGTGCCTTCATCTAAAGGAGTTCAACCTTTATTTTGATTGAGTAGTTTGGAAACACTCTTTTTGTAGGATCTGCAAGTTGACATATGGAGTGCTTCACGGCCTATGGTAGAAAAGGAAATATCTTCACATAAAATCTAGATAGAAGCAATCTGAGAAACTTATTTGTGATGTGTGAATTCATCTCACAGAGTTGAATATTTCTTTTGATTGGGCAGTTTGGAAACAATCTTTTTGTAGAATCTGTATGTGGACATTTGGAGCGATTTGAGGCCTATGGTAGAAAAGGAAATATCTTCACATAAAATCTAGACAGAAGCAATCTGAGAAACTTCTTTGTGATATGTGCATTCATTTCACAGAGTTAAACCTTTCTTTTGATTGAGCAGTTTTGAAACTCTATTTTTGTAGAATCTGCAAGTGGACATTTTGAGTCCTTTGAGGCCTGTGGAGGAAAAGGAAATATCTTCACAGAAAAACTAGACAGAAGAATTCTGAGAAACTTCTTTGTGATGCATGCGGTCATCTCACAGATTTGAACTTTTCTTTTGATTAAGCAGTTTGGAAACACTCTTTCTAGAATCTGCAAGTGGACATTTGGAGCGCTTTGTGGCCTGTGGTAGAAAAGGAAATATCTTCACAAAAAATCTCGACAGAAGTCGTCTGAGAAACACCTTTGTGATGTGTGCATTCATCTCACAGAGTTAATCCTTTCTTTTGACTGAGCATTTTTGAAATTCTCTTTTTGTAGTATCTGCAAGTAGACATTTGGAGCACTTTGAGGCCTATTGTGGAAAAGGAAATATCTTCACAGAAAAACTAGATAGAAGCATTCTGAGAAACTGCTTTGTGATGTTTACATTCATTTCCCTGAGTTGAACCTTTCTTTTGATGGACCAGTTTTGAAATACTCTTTTGGTAGAATCTGCAAGTGGACATTTCCAGTGCCTTGAGGCCTATGGTGGAAAATGAAATATCTTCACATAAAAATTAGACATAAGATTTCTGAGAAACTACTTTGTGATGTGTGCGTTCATCTCACAGAATTGGATCTTTCTTTGATTGAGCTGTTTGGACACACTATTTTTGTAGAATCTGCAAGTGGACATTTGGAGTCCTTGTGGCCTATGCTAGAAAAGGAAATATATTCACATAAAATCTATGGATGAATGCACACATCACAAAGAAGATTCTCAGATTGCTTTTGTCTAGATTTTATGTGAAGATATTACCTTTTCTACCATAGGCCTCAAAGCACTCCAAACGTCCACTTGCAGATTCTGCAAAAAGAGTTTCAAAACTGCTTAAACAAAAGAATGGTTAAACTCTGTGAGGTGAGTGCACATATCACAAACAGGTTTCTCAGATTACTTCCGTCTAGATTTTATGTGAAGTTATTTCCTTTTCTACCACAGGCCGCAAAGCGTTCCAAATGTGTACTTGCAGATTCTACATAAAGAATGTTTCCTAGTTGCTCAAAAAAAAAAAGCTTCAACTCTGTGAGATGAACGCCCACATCATGAAGAAGTTTCTAAGAATTCTTCTGTCTAGTTTTTATGTGGAGATATTTCCTTTCCCACTATAGGCCTCAAATCATTCAAAATGTCCACTTGCAGATTCTACAAACAGAGAGTTTCAAAACACCTCAATCAAAAGAAAGGTTTAACTCTCTGAGATGAATGCACACATCAGAAAGAAGTTTCTCAGATTTGTTCTGTCTAGATTTTATGTGAAGATATTTCCTTTTCTGCCATAGGCCACAAATCGCTCCAAGTGTCTACATGCAGTTTCGAAAAAAAAGAGTGTTTCCAAACTGCTCCATCAAAAGACACGTTCAACTCTGAGATGAACGCACACATCACAAAGAAGTTTCTCAGAATTCTTCTCTCTAGTTTTCATGTGCAGATGTTTCCTTTTCCACAATAGATCGCAAAACGCTCCAAATGTCCACATGCAGATTCTATAAAAACACAGTTTCAAAATTAATCTATCAAAAGAAAAGGTTTAACTCTGTGAAATGAATGCACACATCACAAAGAAGATTCTCAGATTGCTTCTGTCTCGATTTTATGTGAAGATATTTCCTTTTCTACCATAGGCCACAAAGCGCTCCTAATGTCCTCTTGCAGATCCTACAAAAAAAGTGTTTCCAAACTGCTCAATCAAAAGAAAGATTCAACTCTGTGAGATGAATGCACACATCACAAAGAAATTGCTCAGATTGCTTCTGTCTAGAATTTATGTGAAGATATATCCTTTTCTACAATAGGCCACAAAGCGCACAAAATGTCCACTTGTAGATTTTCAAAAAAGTTTGTTTCCAAACTGCTCAGTCAAAAGAAATGTTTACCTCTATGAGATGAACGCAGACATCACAAAGATATTTATCTGTATACATCTGCCTAGTTTTTATGTGAGGATATTTCCTTTTCCACCACAGGCCTCAAAGCCCTCCAAATATCCACTTGCAGATTCTACAAAAAGAGAGTTTCAAAACTCCTCAATCAAAAGAAAGGTTTAGCTCTTTGAGGTGAATGCACACATTGCAAAGAAGATTTTCAGGTTGCTTCTGTCTAGATTTTATGTGAAGATATTTAATTTTCTGCCATTGGCTGCAAAGTGCTCCAAATATTCACTTACGTATTATACAAAAAGAGTGTTTCCATACTGCTAAATCAAAAGAAAGGTTCAACTCTGTGAAACGAATGCACACATCACCAAGAAGTTTCTCAGAATTCTTCTGTCTAGTTTTTATGTGAAGATATTTCCTTTTCCACCACAGGCCTCACGGCGCTTGAAATGTCCACTTGCAGATTCTAAACAAAGAGTGTTTCAAAACTGGCCCATCAACAGAAAGTTTCGTCTCTGGGAGATGAATGTGCATATCACAAAAACTTTCTCAGAATGCTTCTATCTAGTTTTTATGTGAAGATATTTCCTTTTCCACTATTGGCGTCAAAGCGTCCCAAATGTCATCTTGCAGATTCAACAAAAGAGAGTTTCAGAACTGCTCAAACAAAAGAGAGCCTTAACTCTGTGAGATGAATGCACACATCACAAAGAAGTTTCTAAGATTGCTTCTGTCTAGATTTTATGTGAAGATATTTCCTTTCCTAACGTCGGCCGCAAAGTGCTACAAATGTCCACTTGCAGATCCTTCAAAAAGAGAGTTCAAGACTTCTCAATCAAAAGAAAGGTTTAACTCTGTGAGATGAATGCACGCATCACAAATAAGTTTCTCAGATTGCTTCTCTCTAGATTTTATGTAAAGATATTTCCTTTTCTACTTTAGGCCGCAAAGCGTTCCAAATATCCACTTGCAGATTCTACAAAATAGTGTTTCCAAACTGCTCAATCAAAAAAAAGTTTCAACTCTGTGAGATGAAGCCACAAATCACAAAGAAGTTTCTCAGAATTCTTCTGTCTAGTTTTTTATGTGAATATATTTCCTTTTCCACCATAGGCCTTTAAGTGCTCCAAATGCTCACTTGCAGATTCTACAAAAGAGAGTTTCAAAATTGCTCTATCAAAAGAAATTTTTAACTCTGTGAGATGAATGCACACATTACTAAGAAGTTTCACAGACTGTTTCTATATAGATTTTATGTGAGGATATTTCTTTTTCTACCATATGCTAAAAAGTACTCCAAATGTCCACTTGCAGATTCCACAAAAAGAGTGTTTCCACACTGTTCAATCAAAAAAAAGTTTCAACTCAGTGAGATGAACGCACCCATCACAAAGAAGTTTCTCTGAATTCTCCTGTGTAGTTTTTAAGTGAAGATAATTTATTTTCCACAAAAGGCCACAGGGCACTCCCATTTTCCACTTGCAGATACTTCAAAAAGAGAGTTCCAAATCTGCTCCATCAAGAAAAAGATCAACTCTGTGAGATGAACGCGCACATCACAAAGAAGTTTCTCAGATTGCTTCTGCCTAGATTTTATGTTAAGATATTTCCTTTTCCACCAAAGGCCACAAAGCGCTCCAAATGTCCACTTGCAGATTCTGCAAAAAGAGTGTTTCAAAACTGCTCTATCAAAAGAAAGATTTCACTCTGTGAGATGAATGCACACATCACAAAGAAGTTTCTCAGATTGCTTGTGTCTAGATTTTATGTGAAGATATTTCCTTTTCTACCATAGGCCACAAAGTGCTCCAAATGTCCACTTGCACATTCTACATCAAGAGTGTTTTGAAACTGCTCAATCAAAAGAATGGTTCAACTCTTAGAGATGAACGCACACATCACAAACAAATTTCTCAGATAGCTTATGTATAGATTTTATGTGAGAGTATTTCATTTTCAAACATAGGCTGCAAAAAGCTCCAAGTATCCACTTGCGGATTCTACAAAAAGAGAGTTTCAAAACCGCTCTATCAAAAGATAGGTTAACATCTGTGACTTGAATGCACAGCTAACAACGGTTTCCCAGAAAGCTTCTGTGTAGTTTTTATCTGAAGATATTTCCTTTTCCAAAATAGACCACAAAGCTTTTCAAATATCCACTTCCAGATTCTACAAAAAGAGTGTTTCCAAATTACTCCGTCAATAGAAAGATTCAACCGTTTGTGATGAATGCACTCATCACAAAGACGTTTCCCGGAATGATTCTGTGTAGTTTTTATTTGAAGATATTTCCTTTTCCACTGTAGGCCACAAAGCGCTCCAAATATCCACCTGCAGATGCTACAAAAAGAGAGATTCAAAACTGCTCAATCAAAAGATAGGTTCAACTCTGTGAGTTGAATGCACACATCACAAAGTATTTTCTCAGAATGCCTCTGTGTAGTTTTTATGTGAAGATATTTCCTTTTCCACAATAGGCCTCAAATCGCTCCAAATATCCAATTGCAGATTCTGCAAAAAGAGAGATTCTAAACTGCTCAATCAAAAGATAGGTTTGACTCTGTGAGTTGAATGCACACCTCACAAAAAAGTTTCTCAGAATGCTTCTGTGTAGTTTCTATTTGAAGATATTTGCTTTTCCACAGTAGGTCTCAGAACGCTACAAATATCGACTTGCAGATTCTGCAAAAAGAGAGATTCAAAACTGCCCAATCAAAAGATAGGCTCAACTCTGTGTGTTGAATGCACACATAACACAGTAGTTTCTCAGAATAATTATGTGTAGTTTTTATGTTAAGATATATCCTTTTCCAAAATAGTCCTCAAAGCCCTCCAAATATCCACTTGCAGATTCTACAAAAAGAGTGTTTCAAAACTGCTCAATCAAAAGAAACTTTGAACTCTTTGTGATCAATGCGCTCACACAAAGGAGTTTCTCTGAATGCTGCTGTGTAGTTTTTATTTGAAGATATTTCCTTTTCAAGCATAGGGCAAAAATGGCTCCAAATATCCACTTGCAGATTCTACAAAAAGAGAGATTCAAAACTGCTCAATCATAAGATAGGTTCAAACTTGTGAGCTGAATGTACACATCATAAAGAAGTTTCCCAGAATTCTTCTGTGTAGTATTTATTTGAAGATATTTCCTTTTCCACAATAGGCTGCAAAGCACTCCAAATATCCACTTGCAGATTCTGCAAAAAGAGAGATTGAAAACTGCTCAATCAAAAGAAAGATTCGACTCTGTGAGTTGAATACACACCTCACAAAAAAGTTTCTCAGAATGCTTCTGTGTAGTTTTTATTTGAAGATATTTGCTTTTCCACAGTAGGCCTCAAAGTGCTACAAATATCCACTTGCATATTCTGCAAAAAGAGAGATTGAAAACTGCTCAATCAAAAGATAGGCTCAACTCTGTGTGTTGAATGCACACATAACAAAGGAGTTTCTCAGAATAATTCTGTGTAGTTTTTATGTTAAGATATATCCTTTCCCAAAATAGGCCTCAAAGCCCTCCAAATAGCTACTTTGAGTTTCTTCAAAAAGAGTGTATCAAAACTGCTCAGTCAAAAGAAACTTTAAACTCTTTGTGATCATTGCAGTCATCACAAAGGCGTTTCTCTGAATGCTTCTGTGTAGTTTGTATTTGAAGATGTTTCCTTTTCAACCATAGGGCACAAAGGGCTCCAAATATCCACTTGCATATTCTACAAGAAGAGAGATTGAAAACTGCTCAATCATAAGATAGGTTCAAACGTGTGAGTTGAATGCACACATCACAAAGAAGTTTCCCAGAATTCTACCATGTAGTTCTTATTTGAAGATATTTCTTTTTCCACAATAGGCCACAAACGTCTCCAAATATTCACTAACAGATTCTACAAAAGAGAGATTCCAAACGGCTCAATCAAAAGATAGATTCAATTCTGTGAGTTGAATGCACAAATAAAAAAGAAGCTTCTCAGAATGCCAATGTGTAGTTTTTATGTGAAGATATTTTCTTTTCCAAAATAAGCCTCAAAGCCCTCCAAATATCCACTTCCAGATTATACGAAAAGAGTGTTTCAAAACTGCTCAATCAAAGGAAACGTTCAACTCTGTGTGATGAATGCACTCAAAACAAAGAATTTTCTCAGAATGCTTATGTGTAGTTTTTATTTGAAGATATTTCATTTTCCAACACAGGGTGCAAAGAGCTCCAAATATCCACTTGCAGATTCTAGAAAAAGAGAGATTCAAAAGTGCTCAATGAAGAGAAAAGTTCAAATCCGTGAATTGAATGCACACCTCAAAAAGAAGTTTCTCAGAATGCTTCTGTGTAGTTTTTATGTGAAGATATTTCCTTTTCCAAAATAAGACTCAAAGCTCTCAAAATATCCACTTGCAGATTCTACAAATATAGAGTTTCAAAACTGCTTAATCAAAAGAAAGGTTCATCTCTGTGAGATGAATGCACACATCAAAAAAAAGATTCTCAGAATGCTTCTGTGTAGTTTTTATGTGAAGATATTTCCTTTTCCACGGTAGGCCCCAATGTGCTCCAAATATACACTTGCATATTCTACAAAAAGAGTGTTTCTAAACTACTCAATCATAAGATAGGTACAACCCAGTGAGGTGAATGCACACATCACGAAGAAGTGTCTCAGAATCTTCTGTGTAGTGTTTATGTGAAGATATTTCCTTTTCCACAGTTGTCCTCAAAGCTCTAAAATATGCACTTGCAGATTCTGCAAAAAGAGTGTTTCAAAACTGTTCAGTCAAAGGAAAGGTTCAAATCTGTGTGATGAATGCACTCACAACAAAGAAGTTTTTCTGAATGCTTCTGTGTAGTATTTATTTGTTGATATTTCCTTTTCTACAATAGGCCTCAAATCGCTCCAAATATCTACTTGCAGATTCTACAAAAAGAGTGTTTAAAAACTGCTCAATCATAAGTTAGGTTAAAACCTGTGATATGAACGCACACATCAAAAAGAAGGTTCTCAGAATGCTTCAGTGTAGTTTTTATTTGAAGATATTTCCTTTTCCACAACAGGCCTCAAAGCTCTCCAAATATCCACTTGCTGATACTGCAAAAAGAGTGTTTCAAAACTACTCAATAAAAATAAAGGTTCAACTCTGTGTGATGAATGCACTCATCACAAACAAGTTTCTCAGAATGCTTCCACGTAGTTTTAATGTGAAGATATTTCCTTTTCCACAATAGGCCCCAAACTCTACACATATCCACTAGGTCATCCTTCAAAAAGGATGTTTCAAAACTGCTCAATAAAAGGAAAGGTTCAACTCCGTGTGAGGAATGTATTCATCACAAAGAAGTTTCTCTGAATGCTCCTGTGTAGTTGTTATATGAAGATATTTCCTTTTACACCATAGGGCACAAAGGGCTCCAAATATCCATTTACAGACCCTACAAAAACAGAGATTGATTCAAAACTGCTCAGTCAAAAGATAGGTTCATCTCTGTGAGTTGAATGCACACATCACAATGAAGTTTCTCAGAATGCTTCTGTATAGTTTTTATTTGAGGATATTTCCTTTCACACAATAGGACTCAAAACTCTCCAAATATCCAATTGGTCATTCTGCAAAAAGGGTGTTTCAAAACTGCTCAATATAAAGAAAGGTTCAACTCTGTGTGAGGAATGCATTCATCACAAAGAAGTTTCTCTGAACGGTTCTGCGTAGTTTTTATTTGAAGATATTTCCTATTCCACCATAGGGCACAAAGGACTCAAAATATCCACTTGCAGATTCTACAAAAAGAGAGATTCAAAAGTGCTCAATGACAAGATAAGTTCAACTCTGTGAGTTGAATGCACAACTCACAAAGAAGTTTTTCAGAATGCTTCTATGTAGTTTTTATGTGAAGATATTTCCTTTTCCAAAATAGGCCTCAAAGCTCTCCAAATATCCACTTGCAGATTCTTCAAAAAGAGAGATTCAAAACTGTTCATTCAAAAGATATGTTCGACACTGTGAGTTGAATGCACACATCACAAAGGAGTGTCTCAGACTACTTCTGTGTAGTTTTTATGGGAAGATAATTGATTTTCCACAGTAGGCCTCAAAGTGCTCCAAATATCCACTTGCAGATTCTGCGAAAAGGGAGATTCAAAACTACTCAATTAAAAGATATGTTCAACTCTGTGAGTTGAAAGCAAACATCACAAAGAAGTTTCTCAGAATCCTTCTGTGTAGTTTTTATGTGAAGATGTTTTGTTTTCTACCATAGGGCGAAATGGGGCTCCAAATATCTACTTGCATTTTCTACAAAAAGAGAGATTCTAAGCTGCTCAATCAAAAGATAGGTTCAACACTGTTAGTTGAATGCACACATCCCAAAGAAGTTTCTCAGAATGCTTCTCTGTAGTTTTTATGTGAAGATATTTGCTTTTCCACAATAGGCCTCAAATCGTTCTAAATATCCACTTGCAGACTCTACAAAAAGAGTGTTTCCAAATTGCTCAATCATAAGGTAGCTTCAACTCTGAGAGTTGAATGCACACATCATAAAGAAGTTTCTCAGAATGGTTCTGTGTAGTTTTACTTTGAAGATATTTCATTGTCCAAAACAGGCCCCAAAGCTCTCCAAGTATTCACTTGGTGATTCTGCAAAAAGAGTGTTTCAATACTGCTCAATAAAAAGAAAGGTCCAACTCTGTGTGAGGAATGCATTCATCACAAAGAAGTTTCTCTGAATGCTTCATTGTAGTTTTTATATGAAGATATTTCCCTTTCCACCACAGGGTGCAAAGAGCTCCAAATATCCACTTGCAGATTCTACATAACAAGAGATATGAAAGTGCTCCATGAAAAGATAAGTTCAACTCTGTGAGTTGAATGCACACCTCACAAAGAAGTTTCTCAAAATGCTTCTGCGTAGTTTTAATGTGAAGATATTTCCTTTTCCAAATAGGCCTCAAAGTTCTCCAGATATCCACTTGCAGATTCTGCAAAAAGAGAGACTCAAAACTGCTCAATCAAAAGATAGTTTCGACTCTGAGAGTTGAATGCACACATCAGAAAGTAGTTTCTCAGAAGTCTTCTGTGTAGTTTCTATGGGAAGATATTTGATTTTCCACAGTAGGCCTCAAAGCGCTCCAAATATCCACTCGCAGATTCTGCAAAAAGAGAGACTCAAAACTGCTGAATCAAAAGATAGTTTCAACTCTGTGACTTCAGTGCACACCTCACAAAGTTGTTTCCCAGAATGCTTTTGTGTAGTTTTTATATGAAGATATCTCCTTCTCCAAAATAGATCCGAAAGTTCTCCAAATATTCACTTCCAGATTCTATGGAAAGATTGTCTCAAAACTGCTCAATCAAACCAAAGGTTCAACTCTGTGAGATGAACGCACACATCACAAAGTAGTTTCTCAGAAATCTTCTGTGTAGTTTCTATGGGAAGATATTTGATTTTCCACAGAATGCCTCAAAGGGTTCCAAATATCCACTTGCAGATTCTGCAAAAAGAGAGACTCAAAACTGCTCAATCAAAAGATAGGTTCAACTGTGTGAGTCCAAAGCACACATCACAAAGAAGTTTCTCAGAATGCTTCTGTGTAGTTTTTTTGTGAAGATATTTGATTTTCCACAGTAGGCTTCAAAGCACTCCAAATATCCACTCGCAGATTCTGCAAAAAGAGAGATTCAAATCTGCTGAATCAAAAGATAGGTTTAACACTGTGACTTCAATGCACACCTCACAAGGGTGTTTCTCAGAAAGCTTCTGTGTAGTTTTTATATGAAGATATCTCCTTCTCCAAAGCAGATCTCAAACCCCTCCAAATATTCACTTCAAGATACTACGGAAAGATTGTCTCAACACTGCTAAATCAAAACAAAGGTTCAACCCTGTGTGATGCATGCACTCATCACAAAGAAGTTTCTCTGAATGCTTCTGTGTAGTTTTTATTTGAAGATATTTGCTTTTCCAGTATAGGGTGAAATAGGGCTCCAAATATTCACTTGCAGATTCTACAAAAAGAGAGATTCCAAACTGCTCAATCAAAACATAGGTTCAACACTGTGAGTTGAATGCACACATCACAAAGAAGTTTCACAGAGTGCTTCTGGGTAGTTTTCATTTGGGGATATTTCCCTTTCCACAATAGGCCTCAAAGCTTTCCAAATATCCACTTGCAGATTCTGCAAAAAGAGAGATACAAAACTGCTCTATCAAAAGATAGATTCGACTCTGTGAGTTGAATGCAAACAATGCAAAGAAGTTTCTCAGAATGCTTCTGTGTAGCTTCTTTGTGAATATGTTTCATTTTCCACCATATGGCGAAATGGGGCTCCAAATATCCACTTGCATTTTCTACAAAAAGAGAGATTCTAAGCTGCTCAATCAAAAGATAGGTTCACCCCTGTTAGTTGAATGCACACATCCCAAAGAAGTTTCTCAGAATGCTTCTGTGTAGCTTTTAGGTGAAGATATTTCCTTTTCCACAATAGGCCTCAAAGCTCTCCAAATATCTGCAAGCAGAGTCTACAAAAAGAGAGATTCAAAACTGCTCCATGAAAAGATAGGTTCAACTCTGTGAGTTGAATGCACACCTCCAAAGAAGTTTCTCAGAATACTTCCGTGTAGTTTTTATGTGAAGATATTTACTTTTCCACAATTGTCCCAAAGCTCTAAAATATCCACTTGCAGACCCTCTAAAAGAGTGTTTCAGAATTGCTCAATCAAAGGAAAGGTTCAATTCTGTGTGACCAATGCACTCATCACAAAGAAGTTTGTCGGAATGCTTCTGTGTAGAATTGATTTGAAGATAATTCCTTTTCCACCACAGTCCGCAAAGGGCTAAAAATATCCACTTGCCGATTCCACAAAAAGAGAGATTCAAAACTGCTCAATCACAAGATAGGTTCAACTTGGTGATTTGAAAGCACACATGACAAACAATTTCTGAGAATGTTTGTGTTGTTTTTAAGGGAAGATATTTGATTTTCAAATGTAGGCCTCAAATCGCTCCAAATATGCACTTGCAGATTGTACAAAAAGAGAGTTTCAAAACTGGTCACTCAAAAGATAGGTCCAGCTCTGTGAGTTGAATGCAAACCTCACAAAGATGTTTCTCAGAAGGCTTCTGTATAATTTTTATATGAAGATATTTGCTTTTCCACAATATGCCTCAAATCTCCCCAATTATCCACTTGCAGATTCTACAAAAAGAGTGTTTCAAAACTGCTCAATCAAAATACACTTTCAACTCTGTGAGATCAATGCACACATCACAAAGAAGTTTCTCAGAATGCTTCTGTATAGTTTTTATCTGAAGCTATTTGCTTTCCCACGATAGGCCTCAAAGCACACCAAATATCCACTTGCAGATCCTATGAAAAGAGTGTTCCAAAACTGGTCAGTCATAAGATAGGTTTAATTCTGTGAGTTGAATGCACAATCACAAAGAAGTTTCTCAGAATGCCTCTGTGTAGTTTTTATTTGAAGGTAGTTTCTTTTCCACCATAGGTAGCAAAGGGCTCCAAATATCCTCTTGCAGATACAGCAAAATGAGAGATTCAAAACTGCTCATTCAAAAGATAGGTTCAACTCTGTGAGTTGAATGCTCACATAACAAAGAAGTTTCTCACAGTATTTCTGCATAGTTTTTAAGTGAATATATTTTCTTTTCCAAAATAGACCTCAAAGCCCTCCAAATATCAACTTCCAGACTCTACAAAGGCAGTGTTTCAAAACTGCTCAATCAAAAGAAAGTGTCAACTCTGCGAGATATACGTACACATCACAAAGAAGTTTCTCAGAATGCTTCTGTGTAGTTTTTATTTGAAGATATTTCCTTTTCCACCATAGGCCGCAAAGGGCTCCAAATATCCAAATGCAGATTGTACAAAAAGAGAGATTCAAAACTGGTCACTCAAAAGATAGGTTCAGCTCTGTGAGTTGAATACACACATCAAAAAGAAGTTTCTTAGAGTGCCTCTATGTAGATTTTATGTGAAGATATTTGCTTTTCCACAGTAGGCCTCAAATCGCACTAAATATCCACTTGCAGTTTCTACAAAAAGAGTGTTTGCAAACTGCTCCATCATAAGATATGTTCAACTCTGAGAGTTGAATGCACACATCACAAAGAAGTTTGTCAGAATGCTTCTGTGTGGTTTTAATTTGAAGATATTTCCTTTTCCAAAACAGGCCTCAAAGCTCTCCAAATATCCACCTGGTTATTCTGCAAAAAGAGGGTTTCAATACTACTCAATAAAAAGGAAGATTCAACTCTGTGTGAGGAACGCATTCATCACAAAGAAGTCTCTCTGAATGCTTCTGTGTAGTTTTCATATGAAGATATTTCCTTTTACACCACAGGGTGCAAAGAGCTCCAAACTTCCACTTGCAGATTCTACAAAAAGAGATATTCAAAACTGTACAATCAAAAGATAGTTTCAACTCTGCATGTTCAATGCACACATCACAAAGAACTTTCTCTGAATGCTTCTCTGTAGTGTTTGTTTATGGGAAGACATTTGCTTTTCCACTATCGGGTGAAACAGGGCTCCAAGTATCAACTTGCAGATTCTGCAAAAAGGAGATGCAAAACAGCTAAATCAAAGATAACTTCAACTATTTGAGTTGAAGGCACACAGAAAAAAGAAGTTTCTCAGAATACCTCTGTGTAGTTTTTATGTGAAGATATTTGATTTTCCACATTAGACCACAAAGTGTTCCAAATATCCACTTGCAGATTCTACAAAAAGAGTGTTTCAAATCTGCTCAATCAAAATAAGCTTTCAACTCTGTGAGATCAATGCACACATCACAAAGAAGTTTCTCAGAATGCTTCTGTGTAGTTTTTTTTGTGAAGATATTTGAATTTCCACAGTAGGCTTCAAAGCACTCCAAATATCCACTCGCAGATTCTGCAAAAAGAGAGATTCAAATCTGCTGAATCAAAAGATAGGTTTAACTCTGTGACTTCAATGCACACCTCACAAGGGTGTTTCTCAGAAAGCTTCTGTGTAGTTTTTATATGAAGATATCCCCTTCTCCAAAGCAGATCTCAAAGCCCTCCAAATATTCACTTCAAGATTCTACGGAAAGATTGTCTCAACACTGCTAAATCAAAACAAAGGTTCAACACTGTGTGATGAATGCACTCATCACAGAGAAGTTTCCCTGAATGCTTCTGTGTAGTTTTTATTTGACGATATTTGCCTTTCCAGTATAGGGCGAAACAGGGCTCCAAATATTCACTTGCAGATTCTACGAAAGGAGAGATTCCAAACCGCTCAATCAAAACATAGGTTCAGCAATGTGAGTTGAATGCACACATCGCAAAGAAGTTTCACAGAGTGCTTCTGGGTAGTTTTAATTTGAGGATATTTCCCTTTCCACAATAGGCCTCAAAGCTTTCCAAATATCCACTTGCAGATTCTGCAAAAAGAGAGATACAAAACTGCTCTATCAAAAGATAGATTCGACTCTGTGAGTTGAATGCAAACGTCGGAAAGAAGTTTCTCAGAATGCTTCTGTGTAGCTCTTTTGTGAATATGTTTCGTTTCCCACAATAGGGCGAAATGGGGCTCCAAATATCCACTTGCATTTTCTACAAAAAGAGAGATTCTAAGCTGCCCAATCAAAAGATAGTTTCAACACTGTTAGTTGAATGCACACTTCCCACAGAAGTTTCTCAGAAATGTTCTGTTTAGTTTTTAAGTGAAGATATTTCCTTTTCCACAATAGGCCTCAAATCTCTGTAAATATCCACTTGCAGACTCTACAAAGCCTGTTTCCAAACTGCTCAATCATAAGATAGGTTCAACACCGATAGTTGAATGCACACATCACAAAGAAGTTTCTCAGAAAGCTTCTGTGTAGTTTTTGATGAAGATATCTTCTTCTCTAAAACAGAACTCCAAGCCCTCCAAATATTCACTTCAAGATTCTACGGAAAGATTGTCTCAAACTGCTAAATCAAAACAAAGGTTCAACTCTGTGTGATGAATGCATTCATCACAAAGAAGTTTCTCTGAGTGCTTCTGTGCAGTTTTTATTTGAAGATAATTGCTTTTCCAGTATAGGGCGAAATAGGGCTCCAAATATTCACTTGCAGATTCTACAGAAAGAGAGATTCCAAACTGCTCAATCAAAACATAGGTTCAACACTGTGAGTTGAATGCATACATCGCAAAGAAGTTTCACAGAGTACTTCTGGGTGGTTTTTATTTGAAGATATTTCCCTTTCCACAATAGGCCTCAAAGCTTTCCAAATGTCCACTTGCAGATTCCACCAAAAGAGTGTTTCGAAACTGCTCAATCAAAAGAAAGGTTCTACTCTGTGGGATGAATGCACACATCACAAAGTAGTTTCTCAGAATGCTTCTGTGTAGTTTTTATGTGAAGATATTTGTTTTTCCACAGTAGGCCCCAAAGAGCTCCAAATATTCACTTGCAGATTCTACAAAAAGAGTGTTCCAAAACTGCTCAATCATGAAATAGGATCAACCCTGTGAGATGAATGTACGTATGACAGAGAAGTTTCTCAGAATGCTTCTGTGTAGTTTTTATGCGAAGATATTCGACTTTCCACAGTACGCCTCAAAGTTCTCCAATTATCCACTCGTAGATCCTGCAAAAAGAGAGATTCAAAACTGCTCAATCAAAAGATAGTTTCTACTCCATTAGCTGAAAGACCACATCACAAAAAAAGTTTCTCAGGATGCTTCTGTGTAGTTTTTATGTGAAGATATTTGGTTTTCCACAGTAGGCCTCAAAGCGCTCCAAATATCCACTCACAGATTCTGCAAAAAGAGAGATTCAAAACTGCTGAATCAAAAGACAGTTTCAACTCTGTGACTTCAGTGCACACCTCACAAGGATGTTTCTCAGAATGCTTCTGTGTAGTTTTTATATAAAGATATCTCCTTCTCCAAAATGGATCTCAAAGTTCTCCAAATATTCACTTCCAGATTCTATGGAAAGATTGTCTCAAAACTGCTCAATCAAACCAAAGGTTCAACTCTGTGAGATGAATGCACACATCACAAAGAAGTTTCTCAGAGTACTTCTGTGTAGTTTCTATTTGAGGATAGTTCCTTTTCCACCACAGACCAGAAAGGGCTCCAAATATCCATTGCAGATGGTACAAAAAGTGAGATTCAAAACTGCTCAATCCAAAGGTAGTTTCAACCAGGTGATATGAAGGCACACAGCACAGAGAATTTTCTCAAAATGCGTCTGTCTAGTTTTTATTTGAAGATATTTCCTTTTCTACCACAGGCCACAAACGTCTCCAAATATCCACATGCAGCTTCTACAAAAAGAGAGATTCAAAACTTCTCAATCAAAAGATAGGTTCAACTCTGTGAGTTGAAAGCACACCTCACAAAGAAGTTTCTCAGAGTGCTTCTGTGTGTTTTTATGTGAAGATATTTCCTTTTCCACAACAGGCCTCAAAGCTCTCCAAATATCTGCGAGCAGAGTCTACAAAATGAGAGATTCAAAACTGCTCAATGAAAAGATAGGTTCAACTCTGTGAGTTGAATGCACACCTCCAAAGAAGTTTCTCAGAATGCTTCCGTGTAGTTTTTATGTGAAGATATTTACTTTTCCACAGTTGTCCCAAAGCTCTAAAATATCCACTTGCAGACCCTCCAAAAGAGTGTTTCAGAATTGCTCAATCAAAAGGAAGGTTCAATTCTGTGTGACCAATGCACTCATCACAAAGAAGTTTGTCTGAATGCTTCTGTGTAGAATTGATTTGAAGATAATTCCTTTTCCACCACAGTCCGCAAAGGGCTAAAAATATCCACTTGCCGATCCACAAAAAGAGAGATTCAAAACTGCTCAATCACAAGATAGGTTCAACTTGGTAATTGGAAAGCACACATGACAAACATTTCTGAGAATGTTTCTGTGTAGTTTTTAAGGGAAGATATTTGATTTTCAAATGTAGGCCTCAAATCGCTCCAAATATCCACTTGCATATTGTACAAAAAGAGAGATTCAAAACTGGTCACTCAAAAGTTAGGTCCAGCTCTGTGAGCTGAATGCACACATCACAAAGATGTTTCTCAGAAGGTTTCTGTATAGTTTTTATATGAAGATATTTGCTTTTCCACAATATGCCTCAAATCTCCCCAATTATCCACTTGCAGATTCTAGAAAAAGAGTGTTTCAAAACAGCTCAATCAAAATAAACTTTCAACTCTGTGAGATCAATGCACACATCACAAAGAAGTTTCTCAGAATGCTTCTGTGTAGTTTTTTTTGTGAAGATATTTGATTTTCCACAGCAGGCTTCCAAGCACTCCAAATATCCACTCGCAGATTCTGCAAAAAGAGAGATTCAAATCTGCTGAATCAAAAGATAGGTTTAACTCTGTGACTTCAATGCACACCTCACAAGGGTGTTTCTCAGAAAGCTTCTGTGTAGTTTTTATATGAAGATATCTCCTTCTCCAAAGCAGGTCTCAAAGCCCTCCAAATATTCACTTCAAGATTCTACGGAAAGATTGTCTCAACACTGCTAAATCTAAACAAATGTTCAACTCTGTGTGATGAATGCACTCATCACAGAGAAGTTTCTCTGAATGCCTCTGTGTAGTTTTTATTTGAAGATATTTGCTTTTCCAGTATAGGGCGAAATAGGGCTCCAAATATTCACTTGCAGATTCTACAAAAGGAGAGATTCCAAACTGCTCAATCAAAACATAGGTTCAACACTGTGAGTTGAATGCACACATCACAAAGAAGTTTCACAGAGTGCTTCTGGGTAGTTTTTATTTGAGGATATTTCCCTTTCCACAATAGGCCTCAAAGCTTTCCAAATATCCACTTGCAGATTCTGCAAAAAGAGAGATACAAAACTGCTCTATCAAAAGATAGATTCGACTCTGTGAGTTGAATGCCAACATCGCAAAGAAGTTTCTCAGAATGCTTCTCTGCAGCTTTTTTGTGAGTATGTTTCGTTTTCCACCATAGGGCGAAATGGGGCTCCAAATATCCACTTGCATTTCCTACAAAAAGAGAGATTCTAAGCTGCTCAATCAAAACATTGTTTCAACACGGTTAGTTGAATGCACACATCCCAAAGATGTTTTTCAGAGTGCTTCTGTGTGGTTTTTATGTGAAGATACTTCCTTTTCCACAATAGGCCTCAAATCTCTGTAAATATCCACTTGCAGACTCTACAAAGAGTGTTTCCAAACTCCTCAATCATAAGATAGGTTCAACTCCGATAGTTGAATGCACACATCACAAAGAAGTTTCTCAGAAAGCTTCCGTGTAGTTTTTGATGAAGATATCTTCTTCTCTAAAACAGAACTCCAAGCCCTCCAAATATTCACTTCAAGATTCTACGGAAAGATTGTCTCAAACTGCTAAATCAAAACAAAGGTTCAACTCTGTGTGATGAATGCATTCATCACAAAGAAGTTTCTCTGAGTGCTTCTGTGCAGTTTTTATTTGAAGATAATTGCTTTTCCAGTATAGGGCGAAATAGGGCTCCAAATATTCACTTGCAGATTCTACAGAAAGAGAGATTCCAAACTGCTCAATCAAAACATAGGTTCAACACTGTGAGTTGAATGCATACATCGCAAAGAAGTTTCACAGAGTACTTCTGGGTGGTTTTTATTTGAAGATATTTCCCTTTCCACAATAGGCCTCAAAGCTTTCCAAATGTCCACTTGCAGATTCCACCAAAAGAGTGTTTCGAAACTGCTCAATCAAAAGAAAGGTTCTACTCTGTGGGATGAATGCACACATCACAAAGTAGTTTCTCAGAATGCTTCTGTGTAGTTTTTATGTGAAGATATTTGTTTTTCCACAGTAGGCCCCAAAGAGCTCCAAATATTCACTTGCAGATTCTACAAAAAGAGTGTTCCAAAACTGCTCAATCATGAAATAGGATCAACCCTGTGAGATGAATGTACGTATGACAGAGAAGTTTCTCAGAATGCTTCTGTGTAGTTTTTATGCGAAGATATTCGACTTTCCACAGTACGCCTCAAAGTTCTCCAATTATCCACTCGTAGATCCTGCAAAAAGAGAGATTCAAAACTGCTCAATCAAAAGATAGTTTCTACTCCATTAGCTGAAAGACCACATCACAAAAAAAGTTTCTCAGGATGCTTCTGTGTAGTTTTTATGTGAAGATATTTGGTTTTCCACAGTAGGCCTCAAAGCGCTCCAAATATCCACTCACAGATTCTGCAAAAAGAGAGATTCAAAACTGCTGAATCAAAAGACAGTTTCAACTCTGTGACTTCAGTGCACACCTCACAAGGATGTTTCTCAGAATGCTTCTGTGTAGTTTTTATATAAAGATATCTCCTTCTCCAAAATGGATCTCAAAGTTCTCCAAATATTCACTTCCAGATTCTATGGAAAGATTGTCTCAAAACTGCTCAATCAAACCAAAGGTTCAACTCTGTGAGATGAATGCCCACATCACAAAGAAGTTTCTCAGAGTACTTCTGTGTAGTTTCTATTTGAGGATAGTTCCTTTTCCACCACAGACCAGAAAGGGCTCCAAATATCCATTGCAGATGGTACAAAAAGTGAGATTCAAAACTGCTCAATCCAAAGGTAGTTTCAACCATGTGATATGAATGCACACAGCACAGATAATTTTCTCAAAATGCGTCTGTCTAGTTTTTATTTGAAGATATTTCCTTTTCTACCATAGGCCACAAACGTCTCCAAATATCCACATGCAGCTTCTACAAAAAGAGAGATTCAAAACTTCTCAATCAAAAGATAGGTTCAACTCTGTGAGTTGAAAGCACACCTCACAAAGAAGTTTCTCAGAGTGCTTCTGTGTGTTTTTATGTGAAGATATTTCCTTTTCCACAACAGGCCTCAAAGCTCTCCAAATATCTGCGAGCAGAGTCTACAAAATGAGAGATTCAAAACTGCTCAATGAAAAGATAGGTTCAACTCTGTGAGTTGAATGCACACCTCCAAAGAAGTTTCTCAGAATGCTTCCGTGTAGTTTTTATGTGAAGATATTTACTTTTCCACAGTTGTCCCAAAGCTCTAAAATATCCACTTGCAGACCCTCCAAAAGAGTGTTTCAGAATTGCTCAATCAAAGGGAAGGTTCAATTCTGTGTGACCAATGCACTCATCACAAAGAAGTTTGTCTGAATGCTTCTGTGTAGAATTGATTTGAAGATAATTCCTTTTCCACCACAGTCCGCAAAGGGCTAAAAATATCCACTTGCCGATTCCACAAAAAGAGAGATTCAAAACTGCTCAATCACAAGATAGGTTCAACTTGGTAATTGGAAAGCACACATGACAAACAATTTCTGAGAATGTTTCTGTGTAGTTTTTAAGGGAAGATATTTGATTTTCAAATGTAGGCCTCAAATCGCTCCAAATATCCACTTGCATATTGTACAAAAAGAGAGATTCAAAACTGGTCACTCAAAAGTTAGGTCCAGCTCTGTGAGCTGAATGCACACATCACAAAGATGTTTCTCAGAAGGTTTCTGTATAGTTTTTATATGAAGATATTGGCTTTTCCACAATATGCCTCAAATCTCCCCAATTATCCACTTGCAGATTCTAGAAAAAGAGTGTTTCAAAACAGCTCAATCAAAATAAACTTTCAACTCTGTGAGATCAATGCACACATCACAAAGAAGTTTCTCAGAATGCTTCTGTGTAGTTTTTTTTGTGAAGATATTTGATTTTCCACAGCAGGCTTCCAAGCACTCCAAATATCCACTCGCAGATTCTGCAAAAAGAGAGATTCAAATCTGCTGAATCAAAAGATAGGTTTAACTCTGTGACTTCAATGCACACCTCACAAGGGTGTTTCTCAGAAAGCTTCTGTGTAGTTTTTATATGAAGATATCTCCTTCTCCAAAGCAGGTCTCAAAGCCCTCCAAATATTCACTTCAAGATTCTACGGAAAGATTGTCTCAACACTGCTAAATCTAAACAAATGTTCAACTCTGTGTGATGAATGCACTCATCACAGAGAAGTTTCTCTGAATGCCTCTGTGTAGTTTTTATTTGAAGATATTTGCTTTTCCAGTATAGGGCGAAATAGGGCTCCAAATATTCACTTGCAGATTCTACAAAAGGAGAGATTCCAAACTGCTCAATCAAAACATAGGTTCAACACTGTGAGTTGAATGCACACATCACAAAGAAGTTTCACAGAGTGCTTCTGGGTAGTTTTTATTTGAGGATATTTCCCTTTCCACAATAGGCCTCAAAGCTTTCCAAATATCCACTTGCAGATTCTGCAAAAAGAGAGATACAAAACTGCTCTATCAAAAGATAGATTCGACTCTGTGAGTTGAATGCCAACATCGCAAAGAAGTTTCTCAGAATGCTTCTCTGCAGCTTTTTTGTGAGTATGTTTCGTTTTCCACCATAGGGCGAAATGGGGCTCCAAATATCCACTTGCATTTCCTACAAAAAGAGAGATTCTAAGCTGCTCAATCAAAACATTGTTTCAACACGGTTAGTTGAATGCACACATCCCAAAGATGTTTTTCAGAGTGCTTCTGTGTGGTTTTTATGTGAAGATACTTCCTTTTCCACAATAGGCCTCAAATCTCTGTAAATATCCACTTGCAGACTCTACAAAGAGTGTTTCCAAACTCCTCAATCATAAGATAGGTTCAACTCCGATAGTTGAATGCACACATCACAAAGAAGTTTCTCAGAAAGCTTCTGTGTAGTTTTTGATAAAGATATCTTCTTCTCTAAAACAGAACTCCAAGCCCTCCAAATATTCACTTCAAGATTCTACGGAAAGATTGTCTCAAACTGCTAAATCAAAACAAAGGTTCAACTCTGTGTGATGAATGCATTCATCACAAAGAAGTTTCTCTGAGTGCTTCTGTGCAGTTTTTATTTGAAGATAATTGCTTTTCCAGTATAGGGCGAAATAGGGCTCCAAATATTCACTTGCAGATTCTACAGAAAGAGAGATTCCAAACTGCTCAATCAAAACATAGGTTCAACACTGTGAGTTGAATGCATACATCGCAAAGAAGTTTCACAGAGTACTTCTGGGTGGTTTTTATTTGAAGATATTTCCCTTTCCACAATAGGCCTCAAAGCTTTCCAAATGTCCACTTGCAGATTCCACCAAAAGAGTGTTTCGAAACTGCTCAATCAAAAGAAAGGTTCTACTCTGTGGGATGAATGCACACATCACAAAGTAGTTTCTCAGAATGCTTCTGTGTAGTTTTTATGTGAAGATATTTGTTTTTCCACAGTAGGCCCCAAAGAGCTCCAAATATTCACTTGCAGATTCTACAAAAAGAGTGTTCCAAAACTGCTCAATCATGAAATAGGATCAACCCTGTGAGATGAATGTACGTATGACAGAGAAGTTTCTCAGAATGCTTCTGTGTAGTTTTTATGCGAAGATATTCGATTTTCCACAGTACGCCTCAAAGTTCTCCAATTATCCACTCGTAGATCCTGCAAAAAGAGAGATTCAAAACTGCTCAATCAAAAGATAGTTTCTACTCCATTAGCTGAAAGACCACATCACAAAAAAAGTTTCTCAGGATGCTTCTGTGTAGTTTTTATGTGAAGATATTTGGTTTTCCACAGTAGGCCTCAAAGCGCTCCAAATATCCACTCACAGATTCTGCAAAAAGAGAGATTCAAAACTGCTGAATCAAAAGACAGTTTCAACTCTGTGACTTCAGTGCACACCTCACAAGGATGTTTCTCAGAATGCTTCTGTGTAGTTTTTATATAAAGATATCTCCTTCTCCAAAATGGATCTCAAAGTTCTCCAAATATTCACTTCCAGATTCTATGGAAAGATTGTCTCAAAACTGCTCAATCAAACCAAAGGTTCAACTCTGTGAGATGAATGCCCACATCACAAAGAAGTTTCTCAGAGTACTTCTGTGTAGTTTCTATTTGAGGATAGTTCCTTTTCCACCACAGACCAGAAAGGGCTCCAAATATCCATTGCAGATGGTACAAAAAGTGAGATTCAAAACTGCTCAATCCAAAGGTAGTTTCAACCAGGTGATATGAAGGCACACAGCACAGAGAATTTTCTCAAAATGCGTCTGTCTAGTTTTTATTTGAAGATATTCCTTTTCTACCATAGGCCACAAACGTCTCCAAATATCCACATGCAGCTTCTACAAAAAGAGAGATTCCAAACTTCTCAATCAAAAGATAGGTTCAACTCTGTGAGTTGAATGCACACCTCCAAAGAAGTTTCTCAGAATGCTTCCGTGTAGTTTTTATGTGAAGATATTTACTTTTCCACAGTTGTCACAAAGCTCCAAAATGTCCACTTGCAGACCCTCCAAAAGAGTGTTTCAGAATTGCTCAATCAAAAGGAAGGTTCAATTGTGTGTGACCAATGCACTCATCACAAAGAAGTTTGTCTGAATGCTTCTGTGTAGAATTGATTTGAAGATAATTCCTTTTCCACCACAGTCCGCAAAGGGCTAAAAATATCCACTTGCCGATTCCACAAAAAGAGAGATTCAAAACTGCTCAATCACAAGATAGGTTCAACTTGGTAATTGGAAATCACACATGACAAACAATTTCTGAGAATGTTTCTGTGTAGTTTTTAAGGGAAGATATTTGATTTTCAAATGTAGGCCTCAAATCGCTCCAAATATCCACTTGCATATTGTACAAAAAGAGAGATTCAAAACTGGTCACTCAAAAGTTAGGTCCAGCTCTGTGAGCTGAATGCACACATCACAAAGATGTTTCTCAGAAGGTTTCTGTATAGTTTCTATATGAAGATATTTGCTTTTCCACAATATGCCTCAAATCTCCCCAATTATCCACTTGCAGATTCTAGAAAAAGAGTGTTTCAAAACAGCTCAATCAAAATAAACTTTCAACTCTGTGAGATCAATGCACACATCACAAAGAAGTTTCTCAGAATGCTTCTGTGTAGTTTTTTTTGTGAAGATATTTGATTTTCCACAGCAGGCTTCCAAGCACTCCAAATATCCACTCGCAGATTCTGCAAAAAGAGAGATTCAAATCTGCTGAATCAAAAGATAGGTTTAACTCTGTGACTTCAATGCACACCTCACAAGGGTGTTTCTCAGAAAGCTTCTGTGTAGTTTTTATATGAAGATATCTCCTTCTCCAAAGCAGGTCTCAAAGCCCTCCAAATATTCACTTCAAGATTCTACGGAAAGATTGTCTCAACACTGCTAAATCTAAACAAATGTTCAACTCTGTGTGATGAATGCACTCATCACAGAGAAGTTTCTCTGAATGCCTCTGTGTAGTTTTTATTTGAAGATATTTGCTTTTCCAGTATAGGGCGAAATAGGGCTCCAAATATTCACTTGCAGATTCTACAAAAGGAGAGATTCCAAACTGCTCAATCAAAACATAGGTTCAACACTGTGAGTTGAATGCACACATCACAAAGAAGTTTCACAGAGTGCTTCTGGGTAGTTTTTATTTGAGGATATTTCCCTTTCCACAATAGGCCTCAAAGCTTTCCAAATATCCACTTGCAGATTCTGCAAAAAGAGAGATACAAAACTGCTCTATCAAAAGATAGATTCGACTCTGTGAGTTGAATGCCAACATCGCAAAGAAGTTTCTCAGAATGCTTCTCTGCAGCTTTTTTGTGAGTATGTTTCGTTTTCCACCATAGGGCGAAATGGGGCTCCAAATATCCACTTGCATTTCCTACAAAAAGAGAGATTCTAAGCTGCTCAATCAAAACATTGTTTCAACACGGTTAGTTGAATGCACACATCCCAAAGATGTTTTTCAGAGTGCTTCTGTGTGGTTTTTATGTGAAGATACTTCCTTTTCCACAATAGGCCTCAAATCTCTGTAAATATCCACTTGCAGACTCTACAAAGAGTGTTTCCAAACTCCTCAATCATAAGATAGGTTCAACTCCGATAGTTGAATGCACACATCACAAAGAAGTTTCTCAGAAAGCTTCCGTGTAGTTTTTGATGAAGATATCTTCTTCTCTAAAACAGAACTCCAAGCCCTCCAAATATTCACTTCAAGATTCTACGGAAAGATTGTCTCAAAACTGCTAAATCAAAACAAAGGTTCAACTCTGTGTGATGAATGCATTCATCACAAAGAAGTTTCTCTGAGTGCTTCTGTGCAGTTTTTATTTGAAGATAATTGCTTTTCCAGTATAGGGTGAAATAGGGCTCCAAATATTCACTTGCAGATTCTACAGAAAGAGAGATTCCAAACTGCTCAATCAAAACATAGGTTCAACACTGTGAGTTGAATGCATACATCGCAAAGAAGTTTCACAGAGTACTTCTGGGTGGTTTTTATTTGAAGATATTTCCCTTTCCACAATAGGCCTCAAAGCTTTCCAAATGTCCACTTGCAGATTCCACCAAAAGAGTGTTTCGAAACTGCTCAATCAAAAGAAAGGTTCTACTCTGTGGGATGAATGCACACATCACAAAGTAGTTTCTCAGAATGCTTCTGTGTAGTTTTTATGTGAAGATATTTGTTTTTCCACAGTAGGCCCCAAAGAGCTCCAAATATTCACTTGCAGATTCTACAAAAAGAGTGTTCCAAAACTGCTCAATCATGAAATAGGATCAACCCTGTGAGATGAATGTACGTATGACAGAGAAGTTTCTCAGAATGCTTCTGTGTAGTTTTTATGCGAAGATATTCGATTTTCCACAGTACGCCTCAAAGTTCTCCAATTATCCACTCGTAGATCCTGCAAAAAGAGAGATTCAAAACTGCTCAATCAAAAGATAGTTTCTACTCCATTAGCTGAAAGACCACATCACAAAAAAAGTTTCTCAGGATGCTTCTGTGTAGTTTTTATGTGAAGATATTTGGTTTTCCACAGTAGGCCTCAAAGCGCTCCAAATATCCACTCACAGATTCTGCAAAAAGAGAGATTCAAAACTGCTGAATCAAAAGACAGTTTCAACTCTGTGACTTCAGTGCACACCTCACAAGGATGTTTCTCAGAATGCTTCTGTGTAGTTTTTATATAAAGATATCTCCTTCTCCAAAATGGATCTCAAAGTTCTCCAAATATTCACTTCCAGATTCTATGGAAAGATTGTCTCAAAACTGCTCAATCAAACCAAAGGTTCAACTCTGTGAGATGAATGCCCACATCACAAAGAAGTTTCTCAGAGTACTTCTGTGTAGTTTCTATTTGAGGATAGTTCCTTTTCCACCACAGACCAGAAAGGGCTCCAAATATCCATTGCAGATGGTACAAAAAGTGAGATTCAAAACTGCTCAATCCAAAGGTAGTTTCAACCATGTGATATGAATGCACACAGCACAGAGAATTTTCTCAAAATGCGTCTGTCTAGTTTTTATTTGAAGATATTTCCTTTTCTACCATAGGCCACAAACGTCTCCAAATATCCACATGCAGCTTCTACAAAAAGAGAGATTCAAAACTTCTCAATCAAAAGATAGGTTCAACTCTGTGAGTTGAAAGCACACCTCACAAAGAAGTTTCTCAGAGTGCTTCTGTGTGTTTTTATGTGAAGATATTTCCTTTTCCACAATAGGCCTCAAAGCTCTCCAAATATCTGCGAGCAGAGTCTACAAAATGAGAGATTCAAAACTGCTCAATGAAAAGATAGGTTCAACTCTGTGAGTTGAATGCACACCTCCAAAGAAGTTTCTCAGAATGCTTCCGTGTAGTTTTTATGTGAAGATATTTACTTTTCCACAGTTGTCCCAAAGCTCTAAAATGTCCACTTGCAGACCCTCCAAAAGAGTGTTTCAGAATTGCTCAATCAAAGGGAAGGTTCAATTCTGTGTGACCAATGCACTCATCACAAAGAAGTTTGTCTGAATGCTTCTGTGTAGAATTGATTTGAAGATAATTCCTTTTCCACCACAGTCCGCAAAGGGCTAAAAATATCCACTTGCCAATTCCACAAAAAGAGAGATTCCAAACTGCTCAATCACAAGATAGGTTCAACTTGGTAATTGGAAAGCACACATGACAAACAATTTCTGAGAATGTTTCTGTGTAGTTTTTAAGGGAAGATATTTGATTTTCAAATGTAGGCCTCAAATCGCTCCAAATATCCACTTGCATATTGTACAAAAAGAGAGATTCAAAACTGGTCACTCAAAAGTTAGGTCCAGCTCTGTGAGCTGAATGCACACATCACAAAGATGTTTCTCAGAAGGTTTCTGTATAGTTTTTATATGAAGATATTTGCTTTTCCACAATATGCCTCAAATCTCCCCAATTATCCACTTGCAGATTCTAGAAAAAGAGTGTTTCAAAACAGCTCAATCAAAATAAACTTTCAACTCTGTGAGATCAATGCACACATCACAAAGAAGTTTCTCAGAATGCTTCTGTGTAGTTTTTTTTGTGAAGATATTTGATTTTCCACAGCAGGCTTCCAAGCACTCCAAATATCCACTCGCAGATTCTGCAAAAAGAGAGATCA
>NT_187432.1:0-22689 GCF_000001405.40 Homo sapiens | reverse complement strand
CTCCACTCCACGCCACTCCACTCCACTCCCCTCCATTCCATTCCATTCCACTGCACTCCGTTCAACTCCATTCAACTCCACTACACTCCAGTCAGCTCCACTCCATTCTATTCTGTTCCGTTCCATTCTGTACCATTCCATTCCATTCCAGTCCATTCCATTCCACTCCACTCCATTCCATTCCATTCCTTTCCACTGCATTCCACTGCACTCCTCTCCACTCCATTCCACTCAATTGCATTCCATTCAATTCCACTCCATTCCTTTCTATTGCATTCTACTCCATTCCACTCCACTCCATTCCACTCCTCTCCATTATACACCATTCCAATTTCTTCCATTCCATTCCATTCCATTCTACTCCATTCCATTTCATTCCCTTCCACTCCATTCCACTCCATTCCATTCCTGTCCACTCCACTCCATTCCACTCCATTCCATTCCTTTCCACTCCAATCCATTCCATTCCACTCTACTCCATTGCATTCCATTCCTTTCCACTCCAATCCATTCCATTCCACTCTACTCCATTGCATTCCATTCCTTTATTTCGATTGGATGTAACTCTGTCACTCAGACTGTAGTGCAGTGGCACAATCTTAGCTCACCTTACATTTCGCTATTTCATTCCATTCCATTGCATTGCATTGCATTCCATTCCATTCCATTCCATTCCATTCTACTCCAGTGCATTCCATGCCATTCCATTCTATTCCATTTCTTTCCGTTCCATTCCATTCTAGTCCACTCCAATCCACTTCACTCAACTGCACTCCACTCCACTTTGTTCTGTTCCTTTTCATTCCATTCTGTTCCATTCCATTCCATTCCGTTCCATTCCATTCCACTCCACTCCATTCCACTCTAATCCATTCCACTCCACTCCGTTTCACTCCATTACACTCCATTCCACTCCTCTCCTCTGCACTCCACTCCATTCCATTCCACTCTATTCCATTCCTTTCCACTTCACTCCACTCGTTTCCATTCCACTCTATTCCATTCATTTCCCCTCCATTCCATTCCATTCCATTGCACTCCATTCAACTCCACTCCACTCCACTCCACTCCAATCCACTCCACTCCACTCCATTTTAATCCACTCCAATCCACTCCTCTCCACTCCACTCCATCCCATTCCACTCCACTCCATTCGCGTCCATTCCATTCCATTCTACTCCACTCCTCTCCACTCCAATCCATTCCATTCCATTCCTTTCAAATCCACTCCATTCCATTCCACTCCTCTCCACTCCACTCCATTCCAATCGTCACCACTCCACTCCACTCCACTCCATTCCATTCCATTCCATTCCATTCCATTCCATTCCATTCCACTCCACTCCATTCCATTCCCTTCCATTCTGTTCCATTCCATTTCATTCCACTGCACCCCTATCTTCACATGAAAACTAGACAGAAGATTTCTGAGAAACTTTTTTGTGATATGTGCATTCATCTCACAGAGTTTAACCATTCTTTTGACTGAGCAGTTTGGTAACAGACTTTTTGTAGAATCTACAAAAGGAGCACTTTGAATCCTGAGGTGAAAAAGGAAATATCTTCACAGAAAAACTAGAAGGATGGTTTCTGAGAAACTGCTCTGTGATGTTTGAATTCATCTCACAGACTTGAACCTTTCTATTGATTTAGCGTATTGGAAACAGTCTTTTTGTAGAATCTGCAAAGGGATATTTGTGTACACTTGGAGGCCAATGGTGAGAAAGGAAATATCTTCACATGAATACTAGACAGATGCTTTCTGAGACTCTTCTGTTTTATGTGTACATTCCTCCCAAACAGTTGAAACTTTCTTTTGATTGAGGAGTTTGGAAACAGTCTTTTTGTAGAATCAGCAAAGGGATATTTGTGAGCGCTTTGAGTCCTATGGGGAAAAATGAAATATTTTCACATAAAAACTATACAGAAGGTTTCTGAGAAACTACTTTGTAATGTGTGCATTCATCTCCCAGAGGTAAATGTTTCTTTTCATTGAGTAGATGGGAAACTCTTTTCTTGTAGAATCTGCAAAGGGATATTTGTGAGCGCTTTGAGGCCTATGGTGAAAAAGGAAATATCTTCATATAAAATGTAGACAGAAGCTTTCTGAGGAACTTATTTGTGATTTATGCATTCATCTCATAGAGTTGAACCATTCTTCTTTTTTTTGGAGCTCTCGGTTTATTTTTTAATTATTTACTTTTATTATTAATATACTTTAAGTTTTAGGGAACATGTGTACAATGTGCAGGTTTGTTACATATGTATAGATGTTCCATGTTTGTGTGTTGCTCCCATGAACTCATCATTTAGCATTAGGTATATCTCCTAATGCTATCCCTCCCCTTCCCCCTCCCCCCACCCGACTACAATCCCTGATGTATTTTGTGTGATGTTTCCCTTCCTGTGTCCATGTGTTCTCTTTGATCAATTCCCAACTATGAGTGAGAACATGTCGTGTTTTATTTTTTGTCCTTGCAATAATTCGCTGAGAATGATGGTTTCCAGCTTCATCCATGTCCCTACAAGGGACATGAACTCATCATTTTTTTATGGCCGCATAGTGTTCCATGATGTATATACGCCACATTTTCTTCATCCATTCTATCGTTGTTGGACATTTACGTTGGTTCCAAGTCTTTGCTATTGTGAATAGTGCCGCTATAAATATACGTGTGCATGTGTCTTTATAGCAGCATGATTTATAATCCTTTGGGTATATACCCAGTAATGAGATGGCTGGGTCAAGTGGTATTTCTAGTTCTGGATCCCTGAGGAATCGCCATACTGACTTCCACAATGGTTGAACTAGTTTACATTCCCACCAACAGTGCAAAAGTGTTCTTATTTCTCACAACCTCTCCAGCACCTGTTTTTTCCTGACTTTTTAATGATCACCATTCTAACTGGTGTGAGATGGTATCTGATTGTGGTTTTGACTTGCATTTCTCTGATGGCCAGTGAAGATGAGCATTTTTTCATTTGTTCATTGGCTGCATAAATGTCTTCTTTTGAGAAATGTCTGTTCATATCCTTCACCCACTTTTTGATGGGGTTGTTTGTTTTTTTTTCCTGTAACTTTGTCTGAGTTCATTCTAGATACAGGATATTAGCCCTTTGTCAGATGAGTAGGTTGCAAATTTTTTCTCCCATTGTAAAGGATTCCTGTTCACTCTGATGGTGGTTTCTTTTGCTGTGCAGAAGCTCCTTAGTTTAATGAGATCCCATTTGTCAATTGTGGCTTTTGTTGCCATTGCTTTAGGTGTTTTAGACATGAAGTCCTTGCCCATGCCTATGTCCTGAATGGTATTGCCTAGGTTTTCTTCTAGAGATTTTATGTGATGCAATCTTTTGATTAATCAGTTTGGATACGCTGTTCTTGTAGAATCTGCAAGGAGATATATGTGAGCACTTTGAGGCCTTTGGTGAAAAAGGAAATACCTTCACATAATAAATAGACAGAAGTTCTCTGAGAAACCTCCTTGTCATGTGTGCATTCATCTCACTTAGTTGAAACAGTCTTTTGACTGAACAGTTTGAAAACTGTCAATTTGTAGAATCCGCAATGGGATATTTGTGAGCCCTTTGAGGCCTATGGTGAGAAAGGAAATATCTTCATATAAAAACTAGACAGAAGATTTCGGAGAAACCTCTTTGTGATGTGTGCATTCATCTCACAGAGTTGAAGCATTCTCTTGATTGAGCAGTTTGTAAACAGACTTTTTGTAGAATCTGCAAAGGGATATTTGTCAGCTCTATGAGGCCTATGGTGAAAACGGAAATATCTTCAATAAAAACTATAAAGAATGTTTCTGAGAAGCTGTTTTGCAAGGTGTGCACTCATCTCAGAAAGAAAAAAGTTTCTATTCTTTGATGAGTCTGGAAACTCTGTTCTTGTAAAATCTGCAAAGGGATATTTGGGAGTGGTTTGAGGCCTATGGTAAAAAAGGAAATGTCTTCACATAAAAACTACACAGAAGATTTCAGAGAAACTTCTTTGTGATGTATGCATTCATCTCACAGAGTTGAACCATTCTTTTGATTGAGAAGTTTGGGAACAGTCTTTTCTGAGAATCTGCAAAGGGATATTTTGAGCGCTTTGATAGGTATGGTGAAAAGGGAAATATCTTCACATAAAAAGTGGACAGAAGCTTTCGGAGAAACTTTTTTTGTGATGTGTGCATTCATCTCACAGATTTGAACCTTTCTTTTGATTGAGCGGTTTGAAAAGAGTCCTTTTCTAGAATCTGCAGAGGGATATTTGTGAGCCCTTTATGGCCTAAGGTGAAGTAGGAAATATCTTCACATAAAAACTAGACAGAAGCATTCTGAGAAACTTCTTCATGAAGAAGAGTGATTTCATTTCAGAGAGTTGAAACTCTCTTTTGATTGAGGAGTTTACAAACAGACTTTTTGTAGAATATGCAAATGGATATTTGGAGGACTTTGACGCCTATGGTGAAAAAGGAAATATCTTCACCTAAAAACTAGACTGAAGCATTCTGAGAAATTTCTTTGCGATGTATGCATTCATCTCACAGAGTTGAAACTTTCTTCTGATTTAGCAGTTTCAAAACAGTCCTTTTGTAGATTCTGCAAAGGGATATTTGTGAGCCCATTGAGGCCTATGGTGAAATAGGAAATATCTTCACATAAAAACTAGTCAGAAGATTTCTGAGAAACTTATTTGTGATGTGTGCTTTCATCTCACAGAGTTGAACGTTTCTTTTGATTGAGCAGTTTGGAAACACACTTTTTGTGGAATCTGCAAATGGATATTTGGAGCACCTTGAGGACTATGGTGAAAAAGGAAATACCTTCACATAAAAACTAGAAAGCAACATTCTATGAAACTTCTTTGTGATGTGTGCTTTCATCCCACAGAGTTGAACCCTTCTATTCATTGAGCAGTTTGGAAACGATCTTTTTGTAGCATCTGCAAGTGGATATTTGGAGTGGTTTGAGGCCTTGGTGAGAAAGCAAATATCTTCACATAAAAACTAGACAGAAGGATTCTGAGAAACTTCTTGGTGACATGTGCATTTATAACACAGAGTTGATCCCTTCTTTTGATTAAACAGTTTGGTAACAGTCTTTTTGTAGTATCTGTAGAGGGATGTTTGTGAGCAGTTTGAGACCTATGGTGAACAAAGAAATATCTTCATATAAAAACTAGACAGAAGCTTTCTGAGAAACTTCTTTGTGATGTGTGAATTAATCTCAGAGTGTTGAACCTTTCTTTGGATTGACCAGTTTGTAAACAATCCTTTTGTAGAATCTGCAAAGGTATATTTCTGAGACCATTGAGGCCTACGGTAGAATATGAAATATCTTCCCATAAAAACTAGACAGAAGGTTTCTAAGAAACTTCTTTGTGATGTGTGCTTCCATCTCACAGAGTTGAACCTTTCTTTTGATTGAACAGTTTGGAAACCACCTTTTTGTAGAATTTGCAAATGGATATTTGGAGCACTTTGAGGCCTATGGTAAAAAAGGAAATATCATTACATAAAAATTCGATGGAAGCATTATGAGAAACTTCTTTGTGAGGTTTTCATTCATCTCACACAGTTGAACATTTATTTGACTGAAGATTTGGAAACAGTCTTTTTGTAAAATCTACAAAGGGATAATTGTGAACCTTTTGAGGCCTATGGTGAAGTAGGAAATATCTTCACATAAAAACTACACAGAAACTTTCTGAGAAACTTTTTGGTGATGCGTGCATTCATCTCACAGAGTTGAACCTTTCCTTTGCTAGAGCAGTTTGGAAACATTCCTATTGTAGAATCCCCAAAGGGATATTTCTCAGCCGATTGAGGCCTTTGGTGATATAGGAAATATCTTCACATAAAAGCTTGACAGAAGCTTTCTGAGAAACTTATTTTTAATGAGTGTTTTCATCTCAAACAGTTAAGCATTTCTTTTGACTGAGCACTTTGGAAACACTCTTTTTGCATAATCTGCTAAGGGATAATTTGAGCGTTTTGAGGCCTATGGTGAAAAGGAAATATCTTCACATAAAAACTAAACAGAAGCTTTCTGAGAAACTACTTTGTAATGCGTGCATTCAACTCACATTGTTGAAACCTTCTTTTGATTGAGGAGTTTGTAAACAGTCTTTTTGTAGAATCTGCAAATGGATATTTGGAGTGCTTTGAGTTCTATGGTGAAAAAGGAAATATCTTCACAAAAAAACTAGAAAGAAACATTCTGAGAAACTTCTTTGTGATATGTGCTTTCATCTCACAGAGTTGAACCTTTCTTTTCATTGAGCAGTTTGGAAACAGACTTTTTATAGAATCTGGAAATGTATATTTGGAGCGCTTTGAGGTCTGTGGTGAAAAAGGAAATATCTTCAGATAAACACTAAACATAAGCTTTCTGAGAAACTTCTTTGTGATGTATGCATTCATATCACAGAACTGAAACTTTCTTTTGATTTAGCAGTTTGTAAACAGTCTTTTGGTAGAATCTGCAAATGGATACTTCGAGCATGTTGAGGCCTATGGTGAAAAAGGAAATATCTTCACAAAAAAACTAGAAAGATACATTCTAAGAAACTTCTTTGTGATGCGTGCTTTCACCTCACAGAGTTGAAACTTTATTTTTATTGAGCAATTTGGAATCAGTCTTTTTGTGGAATCTGCAAATGGATATTTGGAGCACTTTGAGGCCTATGGTGAAAAAGGAAATATCTCACATGAAACCTAGACAGAAGTATTCTGAGAAACTTCTTTGTCTTGTGTCCATTCATCTCACAGAGTTGAACCTTTCTTTGGATTGAGCAGTTTGGAAACAGTCTTTTTGTAGAATCTGCAAAAAATATTTTTGAGCCCTTTATGGCCCATGGTGAAACAGGAAATGTCCTCAAAGAAAAACTAGACAGAAGCTTTCTGAGAAAATTCTTTGTGATGTGTGCTTTCATCTCACAGAGTTGAACTTTTCTTTTGATTGAGCAGTTTGGAAACAGTCTTTTTGTAGAATCCGAAGATGGATATTTGCAGTGTTTCAGGCCTATGGTGAACAGGAAATTTCTTCACATAAAAACTAGACAGAAGCATTCTGAGAAACTTCTTTGTAATGTATGCATTCATGTCACAGAGTTGAAACTTTCCTTGGATTGAGCAGTTTGGAAAGAGTCCTTTTGTAGAATCTGCAAAGGGATGTTTGTGAGCACATTGGAGCCTATGGTGAAATAAGAAATGTCTTCACATAAAAACTAGACAGGAGAACCAGAGCCAAGATGGCCGAATAGGAACAGCTCCAGTCTACAGCTCCAAGCCTGAGCGACACAGAAGATGGGTGATTTCTGCATTTCCACCTGAGGTACTGGGTTCATCTCACTAGGGAGTGCCAGACAGTGGGCGCAGGTCAGTGGGTGTGTGCACCGTGCATGAGCTGAAGCAGGGCAAGGCATTGCCTCACTCAGGAAGCGCAAGGGGTCAGGGAGTTCCCTTTCCTAATCAAAGAAAGGGGTGACGGATGGCACCTGGAAAATCGGGTCACTCCCACCCGAATACTGTGCTTTTCTGACGGGCTTATAAAATGGCGCACCACGAGATTATATCCCACACCTGGCTCAGAGGGTCCTACCCCATGGAGTCTCGCTGATTGCTAGCATAGCAGTCTGAGATCAAACTGCAAGGCAGCAGCGAGGCTGGTGGAGGGGCGTGCACAATTTCCTAGGCTTGCTTAGGGAAACAAAGCAGCCAGGAAGCCCGAACTGGGTGGAGCCCACCACAGCTCAAGGAGGCCTACCTGCCTCTGTAGGCTCCATCTCTGGGGGCAGGGCACAGACAAACAAAAAGACAGCAGTAACCTCTGCAGACTTAAATGTCCCTGTCTGACAGCTTTGAACAGAGCAGTGGTTCTCCCAGTATGCAGCTGGAGATCTGAGAACTGGCAGACTGCCTCCTCAAGTGGGTCCCTGACCCCTGACCCCCGAGCAGCCTAACTGGGAGGCACCATCCAGCAGGGGCACACTGACACCTCACACTGCAGGGTACCCCAACAGACCTGCAGCTGAGGGTCCTGTCTGTTAGAAGGAAAACTAACAAACAGAAAGGACATCCACAGCAGAAACCCATCTGCACATCAACATCATCAAAGACCAAAAGTAGATAAAACCACAAAGATGGGGAAAAAACAGAACAGAAAAACTGGAAACTCTAAAAATCAGAGCACCTCTCCTCCTCCAAAGGAAGGCAGCTCCTCACCAGCAACGGAACAAAGATGGACGGAGAATGACTTTGACGAGCTGAGAGAAGAAGGCTTCAGACGATCAAATTACTCTGAGCTATGGGAGGACATTCAAACCAAAGGCAAAGAAGTTGAAAAGTTTGAAAAAAATTTAGAAGAATGTGTAACTAGAATAACCAATACAGAGAAGTGCTTAAAGAAACTGATGGAGCTGAAAACCAAGGCTCGAGAACTACGTGAAAAATGCAGAAGCCTCAGGAGTCGATGTGATCAACTGGAAGAAAGGGTATCAGCGATGGAAAATGAAATGAATAAAATGAAGTGAGAAGGAAAGTTTAGAGAAAAAATAATAAAAAGAAACGAGCAAAGCCTCCAAGAAATATGGGACTATGTGAAAAGACCAAATCTACGTCTGATTGGTGTACCTGAAAGTGATGGGGAGAATGGAATCAAGTTGGAAAACACTCTGCAGGATGTTATCCAGGAGAATTTCCCCAATCTAGCAAGGCAGGCCAACGTTCAGATTCAAGAAATACAGAGAACGCCACAAAGATACTCCTCGAGAAGAGCAACTCCAAGACATATAATTGTCAGATTCACCAAAGTTGAAATGAAGGAAAAAATGTTAAGGGCAGCCAGAGAGAAAGGTTGGGTTACCCTCAAAGGGAAGCCCATCAGACTAACAGCGGATCTCTTGGCAGAAACCCTACAAGCCAGAAGAGAGTGGGGGCCAATATTCAACATTCTTAAAGAAAAGAATTTTCAACCCAGAATTTCATATCCATCCAAACTAAGCTACATAAGTGAAGGAGAAATAAAATACTTTACAGACAATCAAATGCTGAGAGATTTTGTCACCACCAGGCCTGCCCTAAAAGAGCTCCTGAAGGAAGTGCTAAACATGGAAAGGAACAACCAGTACCAGCCACTGCAAAATCATGCCAAAATGTAAAGACCATGGAGACTAGGAAGAAACTGCGTTAACTAACGAGCAAAATAACCAGCTAACATCATAATGGCAGGATCAAATTCACATATAATACTATTAACTTTAAATGTAAATGGACTAAATACTCCAATTAAAAGACACAGACTGGCAAATTGGATAAAGAGTTAAGACCCATCATTCTGCTGTATTCAGGAAACCCATCTCATGTGCAGAGACACACATAGGCTCAAAATAAAAGGATGGAGGAAGATCTACCAAGTAAATGGAAAACAAAAAAAGGCAGGGGTTGCAATCCTAGTCTCTGACAAAACAGACTTTAAACCAACAAAGATCAAAAGAGACAAAGAAGGCCATTACATAATGGTAAAGGGATCAATTCAACAAGAAGAGCTAACTATCCTAAATATATATGCACCCAATACAGGAGCACCCAGATTCATAAAGAAAGTCCTGAGTGACCAACAAAGAGACTTAGACTCCCACACATTAATAATGGGGGACTTTAACACCCCACTGTCAACATTAGACAGATCAACGAGACAGAAATTCAACAACGATATCCAGGAATTGAACTCAGGTCTGCACCAAGCTGACCTAATAGACATCTACAGAACTCTCCACCACAAATCAACAGAATATACATTATTTTCAGCACCACACCACACCTATTCCAAAATTGACCACATAATTGGAAGTAAAGCTCTCCTCAGCAAATGTAAAGTAAGAGAAATTATAACAAACTATCTCTCAGACCACAGAGCAATCATAATAGAACTCAGGATTAAGAATCTCACTCAAAACCGCTCAACTACATGGAAACAGAAAAACCTGCTCCTGAATGACTACTGGGTACACAACAAAACGAAGGCAGAAATAAAGATGTTCTTTGAAACCAACGAGAACAAAGACACAACATACCAGAATCTCTGGGATGCATTCAAAGCAGTGTATAGAGGGAAATTTATAGCACTAAATGCCCACAAGAGAAAGCAGGAAAGATCCAAAATTGACACTCTAACATCACAATTAAAAGAACTAGAAAAGCAAGAGCAAACACATTCAAAAGCTAGCAGAAGGCAAGAAATAAGTAAAATCAGAGCAGAAGTGAAGGAAATAGAGACACAAAAAAACCCTTCAAAAAATTAATGAATCCAGGAGCTGGTTTTTTGAAAGGATCAACAAAATTGATAGACCACTAACAAGACTAATAAAGAAAAAAAGAGAGAAGAATCAAATAGATGCAATAAAAAATGATAAAGGGGATATCACCACCGATTCCAGAGAAATACAAACTACCATCAGAGAATACTACAAACACCTCTATGCAAATAAACTAGAAAATCTAGAAGAAATGGATAAATTCCTTGACACATACACTCTCCCAAGACTAAACCAGGAAGAAGTTGAATCTCTGAATAGACCAAAAACAGGATCTGAAATTGTGGCAATAATCAATAGCTTACCAACCAAAAAGAGTCCGGGACGAGATGGATTCACAGCCGAATTCTACCAGAGGTACAAGGAGGAACTGGTACCGTTCCTTCTGAAACTATTCCAATCAATAGAAAAAGAGGGAATCCTCCCTAACTCATTTTATGAGGCCAGCATCATCCTGATACCAAAGCTGGGCAGAGACACAACCAAAAAAGAGAATTTTAGACCAATATCCTTGATGAACATTGATGCAAAAATCCTCAATAAAATACTGGCAAACCGAATCCAGCAGCACATCAAAAAGCTTATCCACCATGATCAAGTGGGCTTCATCCCTGGGATGCAAGGCTGGTTCAATATACGCAAATCAATAAATGTAATCCAGCATATAAACAGAGACAAAGACAAAAACCACATGATTATCTCAATAGATGCAGAAAAGGTCTTTGACAAAATTCAACAACCCTTCATGCTAAAATCTCTCAATAAATTAGTTATTGATGGGACATATTTCAAAATAATAAGGGCTATCTATGACAAGCCCACAGTCAATATCATACTGAAAGGGCAGAAACTGGAAGCATTCCCTTTGAAAACTGGCACAAGACAGGGATGCCCTCTCTCACCACTCCTATTCAACATAGTGTTGGAAGTTCTGGCCAGGGCAATTAGGCAGGAGAAGGAAATAAAGGGTATTCAATTAGGAAAAGAGGAAGTCAAATTGTCCCTGTTTGTAGATGACATGATTGTATATCTAGAAAACCCCATTGTCTCAGTCGTAATTTTCCTTAAGCTGATAAGCAACTTCAGCAAAATCTCAGGATACAAAATCATTGTGCAAAAATCACAAGCATTCCTATACACCAACAACAGACAGAGAGCCAAATCATGAGTGCACTCCCATTCACAATTGCTTCAAAGAGAATAAAATACCTAGGAATCCAACTTACAAGGGATGTGAAGGACCTCTTCAAGGAGAACTACAAACCGCTGCTCAAGGAAATAAAAGAGGATAAAAACTAATGGAAGAACATTCCATGTTCATGGATAGGAAGAATCAATATCGTGAAAATGGCCATACTGCCCAAGGTAATTTACAGATTCAATGCCATCCCCATCAAGCTATCAATCAATTTCTTCACAGAATTGGAATAAAACTATTTTAAAGTTCGTGTGGAATCAAAAAAGAGCCCACATCGCCAAGTCAATCCTAAGCCAAAAGAACAAAGCTGGAGGCATCACACTACCCGACTTCAAACTATACTACAAGGCTACAGTAACCAAAACAGCATGGTACTGGTACCAAAACAGAGATATAGATCAATGGAACAGAACAGAGCCCTCAGAAATAACGCCGCATATCTACACCTATCTGATCTTTGACAAACCTGAGAAAAACAAGCAATGGGGAAAGGACTCCGTATTTAATAAATGGTGCTGGGAAAACTGGCTAGCCATATGTAGAAAGCTGAAATTGGATCCCTTCCTTACACCTTATACAAAAATCAATTCAAGATGGATTAAAGACTTAAACGTTATACCTAAAGCCATAAAAACCCTAGAAGAAAACCTAGGCATTACCATTCAGGACATAGGCATGTACAAGGCCTTCATGTCTAAAACACGAAAAGCAATGGCAACAAAAGACAGAATTGACAAATGGGATCTAATTAAACTAAAGAGCTTCTGCACAGCAAAAGAAACTATCATCAGAGTGAACAGGCAACCTACAAAATGGGAGAAAATTTTCGCAACCTACTCATCTGACAAAGAGCTAATATCCAGAATCTACAATGAACTCAAGCAAATTTACAAGAAAAAAACAAATAACCCCATCAAAAAGTGGGCAAAGGACATGAACAGACACTTCTCAAAAGAAGACATTTATGCAGCCAAAAAACACATGAAAAAATGCTCACCATCACTGGCCGTCAGAGAAATGCAAATCAAAATCACAATGAGATACCATCTCACACCAGTTAGAATGGCAATCATTAAAAAGTCAGAAAACAACAGGTGCTGGAGAGGATGTAGAGAAATAGGAACACTTTTACACTGTTGGTGAGACTGTAAAGTAGTTCCACCATTGTGGTAGTCAGTGTGGCGATTCCTCTGGGATCTAGAACTAGAAATACCATTTGACCCAGCCATCCCATTACTGGGTATATACCCAAAGGACAATAAATCATGCTGCTATAAAGACACAGGCACACGTATGTTTATTGCGGCATTATTCACAATAGCAAAGACTTGGAACCAATCCAAATATCCAACAACGATAGACTGGATTAAGAAAATGTGACACATATACACCATGGAATACTATGCAGCCATAAAAAATGATGAGTTCATGTCCTTTGTAGGGACATGGATGAAATTGGAAATCATCATTCTCAGTAAACTATCGCAAGAACGAAAAACCAAACACCGCATATTCTCAGTCATAGGTGGGAACTGAACAATGAGAACACATGGACACTGGAAGTGGAACATCACACTCTGGGGACTGTTGTTGGGTGGGGGGAGGGGGGAGGGATAGCACTGGGAGACATACCTAATGCTAGATGACGAGTTAGTAGGTGCAGCACACCAGCATGGCACATGTATACATATGTAACTAACCTGCACAATGTGCACATGTACCTTAAAATTAAAGTATAATAATAAATAAATAAATAAATAAATAGACAGAAGCTTTCTGTAAATCTTCTTTGTGCTGTGTGCTTTCACCTCACAGATTTGAACCTCTCTTTTGATTGGGCAGTTTGGAAACACTCTTTTTGTAGAACTTGCAAGTGGATATTTGGAGTGCTTTGAGGCCTATGGTGAAAAAGAAAATATCTGCATATAAAAACTAGATGGAAACTTTCTGAGAAACTTCCTTGTGATGTGTGCTTTCATCTCACAGAGCTGGACCTTGTTTTCAATGAGCAGTTTGGCAAAAAGTCATTTTGTAGAATCTGCAAAGGGATATTTGCGAGTGGTTTGAGGCCTATAGTGAAAAAGTAAATACCTTCACCTAAAACCTAGACAGAAGCATTTTGAGAAAACCCTTTTTGATGTTTGCATTCATCTCACTGAGTTGAACCTTTCCATTCATTGAGAAGTGTGGAATCATACTTTTTGTGCAATCTGCAAAGAAATATTTTTTTGCGGTTTGAGACCTATGGTGAAAAAGTAATATCTTCACATAAAAACTAGACAGAAGCATTATGAGAAACTAATTTCTTTATGTGTGCATTGATCACACAGAGTTGAACCTTTCTTTTGATGAGGCAGTTTGGAAAGAGTTTTTTGCAGAATCTGAAAAGGGATATTTTTTATCTCTTTGAGACCTAAGGTGAAATAGGAAATATCTTCACATAAAAACTAGACAGAAACTTTCTGAGAAACTTCTTTGAGAGGTGGGCTTTCATCTCACAGATTTGAACCTTTGTTTTCATTGAGCAGTTTGGAAAGAGTCTTTCTTAGTATCTGCAGTGGGCTATTAGTGAGTGGAATGAGGCCTATGGTGAAAAAGGAAATGGCTTCCCAAAAAAAGTACACAGAAGCATTCTGAGAGACTTCTTTGTAATGAGTGCATTCATCTTACAATGTTAAACCTTTCTTTTGATCGAGCTTTTTGGAAACACTCTTTTTGTAGCATCTGCAAGAGTATAATTCTGAGCCCATTGAGACCTATATTGAAATATGAAATATCTTCACATAAAAACTAGATAGAAGGTTTCTAAGAAACTCATTTTTGAAGTGTGCTTTCATCTCACAGAGTTAAAACTTTCTTGTTATTAAGCAGTTTGAAAACACTCTTTTTGTAGATTCTGCAGGTGGATATTTGGAGCACTTTGAGGCCCATGATGAAAAAGGAAATATCTTCACATAAAAACTAAACAGAAGTTTTCTGAGAAACTTCTTTGGAGGTGTGCATTCAACGCACAGAGTTGAACCTATCTTTTCATGGAGCAGTTTGGAATCTCTCTTTTTGTAGACTCTGCTTGCAGATATTTGGACAGCTTTGAGGCCTATTGTGGAAAAGGAAATATCATCACATAAAAACACACAGAAGCACTCTGAGAAACTTCTTTGTGATGTCTGCATTCAACTCACAGAGTTGAACCTATCTTTTGATTGAGAAGTTTTGAATCTCTCTTTTTGTAGAAGCTGCATGTGGATATCTGGAGACGTTTGTGGCCTATGGTAGAAAAGGAAATATCTTCAAATAAAAACTAGACAGAAGCATTTTGAGAAAATTCTCTGTGCTGTGTGCATTCATATCACATGGTTGAAACTACCTGTTGATTGAGCAGTTTTGAATCTCTCTTTTATAACATCTGCAATGGATATTTGGAGCCCTTTGTGGTCTGCGGTGGAAAAGGAAGTATCCTCAAATAAAAACTACACAGAAGTATTCTGAGAAACTTCTTTGTGATGAATGCATTCATCACACAGAGTTGAACCTTTGTTTTGATTTAGCAGTTTTGAGACAATCTTTCCGTAGAATCTTGACGTGAATATTTGGAGGGCTTTGAGTTCTGTTTTAGAGAAGAAGATATCTTCATAAAAAACTACACAGAAGCTTTCTGAGAAACTTCTTTGTGATGTGTGAATTCAACTATCGGAGTTGAACCTATCTTATGATTGAGCAGCTTGGAAACACTCTTTGTAGAGTCTGCAAGTGGATATTTACAGAGATTTGAGACCTAGTGTGGAAAAGGAAATATCTTCACATAAAAACTACACAGAAGCATTCTGAGAAACTTCTATGGGAAGTGTGCATTCAACTAACAGTGTTGAACCTATCTTTTGATTGAGCAGCTTAGAATCTCTCTTTTCGTAGAAAATGCAAGTGGATATTTGGAGCTCCATTTCACCGTAAGGTGCAAAACGAAACATATTCACAAAAAAAATACACAGAAGCAATCTGAGAAACTTCTTCGCGATGTTCGCATTCAACTCACAGAGTCGAAGGTATCTTTTGATAGAGCAGTTTTGTATCTCTCTTTTTGCAGAATCTGCAAGTGGATATTTGGAAAGCTTTGAGGCCTATTGTGGAAAGGGAAATATCCTCAAATAAAAACTACCGAGAAGCACTCTGTGAAACTTTTTGTGATGTGTGCATTCAACTCACAATGTTGAACCTATATTTTGATTGAGCAGTTTGGAATCTTTCTTTTTGTAGAATCTGCAAGTGAATATTTGGAGCCCTATTTCGCCCCATACTGGAAAAGCAAATATCTTCAAATAAAAACTACACAGAAGCATTCAGAGAAACTTCTCTGTGATGAGTGCATTCATCACACAGAGTTGAAACTTTGTTTTGATTTAGCAGTGTTGAGACAATCTTCCGTAGAATCTCGAAGTGAATATTTGGAGGGCTTTGAGATCTGCTTTGGAGAAGGAGATAACTTCATATAAACACTACACAGAAGCTTTCTGAGAAACACCCTTGTGAGGTGTGCATTGAAGTCACAGAGTTAAACCTATCTTTTGATTCAGCAGATTTGAATCTCTCTTCTTGCAGAATCTGCGAGTGGATATTTGGAGTGCTTTGAAGCCTACTGTGGAAAATCAAATATCTTCACATAAAAAATACACAGAAGCATTCTGAAAAACTTCTTTGTGATGTGTGCTTTCAACTCACACAGTTGAAACTATCTTTTGATTGAGCAGTTTTGAGTCTCTCTTTTTGCAGAATCTGCAAGTCGATATTTGGAACACTTTGAGGCCTACTGTGGAAAATCAAATATCTTCCCATAAAAACTACACAGAAGACTTCTGAGAAACTACATTGTGATGTGTGCATTCAACTCACAGAGTCGAACGTATCTTTTGATTGAGCAGTTTTGAATCTCTCTTTTTGCAGAATCTGCAAGTGGATATCCAGAGAACTCTGAGACCTATTTGGAAAAGGAAATATCTTCACATAAAAACTACGCAGAAGCATTTTGAGATACTTCTTTGTGAGGTGTGCATTCAACTCACAGAGTTGAACTTATCATTTCATTGAGCACATTCATATCTCTTTTTTTGTAGAATCTGCAAGTGGATATTTGGAGCTCTTTGCACCCTGTGGTGGAAAGGGAAATATCTTCATATAAAAACTACAAAGAAGCATTCAGAGAAACTTCTTTGTGATGAATGCATTCCTCACACAGAGTTGAACCTTTCTTTTTATTGAGCAGTATTGAAACGCTCTTTTTGCAGAATCACCAAGTGGATATTTGGGGAGCTTTGGGGCCTCATTTGGAAAATGAAATATCTTCAAAGTAAAACTACACAGAACCATTCTGAGAAACTTCTTTATGATGTGAGCATTCAACTCTCAGAGTTGAAGCTACCTTATGATTGAGCAATTTGGAAACACTCTTTTTGTAGAGCCTGCAAGTGGATATTTAGAACGATTTGAGGCCTATTGTGGAAAAGCAAATATCTTCACATAAAAACTACACAGAAGCATTCTGAGAAACTTCGTTGGGATGTGTGCATTCAACTAACAGTGTTGAACCTATCTTTTGATTGAGCAGCTTAGAATCTCTCCTTTTGTAGAAAATGCAAGTAGAGATTTGGAGCCCCATTTCGCCCTATGGTAGAAAACAGAACATCTTCACATAAAAACTACACAGAAGCATTCTGAGAAACTTCTTTGTGATGTTTGCATTGAACTCACAGAGTCGAACCTATCTTTTGATAGAGCAGTTTTGTATCTCTCTTTTTGCAGAATCTGCAAGTGGATATTTGGAAAGCTTGAGGCCTATTGTGAAAAAGGAAATATCTTCACATAGAAACTACAGAGAAGCATTCTGAGAAACTTCTCTGTGAGGCATGGATTCAACCAACAGAGTTGGACTTACCATTGAGCAGTTTTGAATCTCTCTTTTGGTCGAATCTGCAAGTGGGTATTTGGAGCCCTTTTGCAACCTATGGCGGAAAAGGAAACACCTTCACCTAAAAACTATATAGAAGCATTCCGAAAAACTTCTTTGTGATGTGTGCATTCATCTCACAGAGTTGAACCTATCTAATGATTGAGCAGTTTTGAAACACTCATTTTGTAGAACCTGGAAGTGGATATTGGGAGTAGTTTGTGGCCTTCTTTGGAAAAGGAAATATCTTCACATGAAAACTACAAAGAAGCATTCTGAGAAACTTCTTTGTGATGTGTGCATGCATCTCACAGTGTTGGACGTTTCTTTTGATAGGGCAGTTTCGAAAGAGTCTTCTTGTAGAGTCTGCAAGTGGATATTTGGAGCGCTTTGAGGCCTAATGTGGAAAATCAAATATCTTCACATAAAAACTACACAGAGGCATTCTGAGAAACTTCTTTTTTGTGTGTGCATTCAACTCACATAGTTGAAGTTATCTTTGGATTTAGCTGTTTTGAATCTCCTTTTTGCAGAATCTGCAAGTTGATACCTGGAGCCCTGTTTCACCCTATAGTGGAAAAGCAAATATCTCCACATAAACAAACACTACAGAGAAGCATTCAGAGAAAGTCCTTTGTGATGTGTGCATTGAACACGCAGAGTTGAAACTATCTTTTGATTGTACAGTTTTGAATATCTCTTTTTGTAGAATCTGCAAGTGGAAGTTTGGAGCTGTTTGCACGCTGTGGTGCAAAAGGAAATATCTTCATATAAAAACTACACAGAAGCTTTCAGAGAGACTTCTTTGTGAGGAATGCGTTCCTCACACAGAGTTGAATCTTCCTTTTTATTGAGTAGTTTTGAAACCCTCTTTTTGCAGAATAACCAGGGGGATATTTGGAGAGCTTTGAGGCCTGTTTTGGAAAAGGAAATATCTTCAAATTAAAACCACACAGAAGCATTCTGAGAAACTTCTTTGTGATGTGTGCATTCAACTCTCAGAGTTCAACGTGTCTTATGATGGAGCAGTTTGGAAACACTCTTTTTTGTAGAAACTGCAAGTGGATATGTAGAGCGATTTGAGGCCTACTGTGGAAAAGCAAATATCTTCACATAACGACTACACAGAAGCACTCCTAGAAACTTCTTTGTGATGTGTGAATTCAACTCACAGAGCTGAACCTATCTTTTGATGGAGTAGCTTAGAATCTCTCTTTTTTTAGAATCTGCACGTGGATATTTGGAGCGCTTTGAGACCTAAAGTGGAAAAGCAAATATCTTCACATAAAATCTACATAGAGGCACTCTAAGAAACTTCTTTTTGATGTGTGCATTCAACTCACAGAGCTGAAGCACACAGTGCTTGAGTGACCAGTTTTGAATCTCTCTTTTTGTACAATCTGCAAGTGGATATTGGGAGCCCTTTGCGGCCTGTGGTGGAAAAGGAAATATCTTCAAATAAAAACTACACAGAAGCATTCTGAGAAACTTCTTTGTGATGTGTACATTCATCTCACAGAGTTGACACTTTCTTTTGATTGAGCAGTTTTGAAACACTGCTTTTGTAGAGTCTGGAAGTTGATATTTGGAGGGCTTTGAGGTCTATTTCGGAAAAGAAAATATCTTCACTTAAAAACTACGCAGAAATACTGTGAGAAACTTCTTTGTTATGTGAGCATTCAACTCACAGAGCTGAACCTATCTTTTGATTGAGCAGTTTTGAATCTCTCATTTTGCAGAATCTGCAAGAGGATATTTGGAGCCCTTTGCTACCTAGGGTGGAAAAGGAAATACCTTCAAATAAAAACTACACAGAGGCATTCTGAGAAACTTCTTGTGATTGTGCATTCAACTCACAGAGTTAAACCTATCTTATGATTGACCAGTTTTGGAACACTGTTTTCATAGGATCTGCAAGTGGATATTTGGTGTGCTTTGAGGCCTATCGTGGAAAAGCAAGTAACTTCAGATAAAAACTATACAGAAGCATTCTGAGAAACTTCTTTGTGATGTGTGCATTGATCTCACAGAGTTGAAAGTGTATTTTGATTGAGCAGTTTTAAAACACTCCTTCTGTAGAATCTGCAAGTGGATAATTGGAGAGATTTGAGGTATGTTGTGGAAAAGCAAATATCTTCATATAAAAACTATACAGAAGCTTTCTGAGAAACATCTTTGTGAGGTTTGCATTCAACTCACAGAGCTGGACCTATCTTTTGAGTGACCAGTTTTGAATCTCTCTTTTTGTTCAATCTGCAAGTGGATATTTGGAGCGATTTGAGGCCTACATTTGAAAATCAAATATCTTCCCTTAAAACCTACACAGAAACATTCTCAGAAATTGTTTGTCATGTGGGCTTTCAAATTACCAAGTTGAACCTACCTTGTGATTGAGCAGTTCTGAGTCTCTCTTTTTGGGGAATCTGCAAATGGATATTTTTAGCCCTTTGCGGACTGTGGTGGAAAAGGAATTATCTTCAAATCCATTCTACACAGAAGCATTCAGACAAACTTCTTGGTGATGAGTGCATTGGTCACACAGAATTGAACCTCTCCTTTGATTGAGCAATTCTGAAACACTCTTTCAGAGGGTCTGCAAGTGGATATTTTAGAGCTTTGGGACAATTGTGGAAAAGTAAATATCTTCACATAGAAACTACACGGAAGCATTCTGAGAAACTTCTTTGGAGGTGTACATTCAACTCACAGAGTTGAACCTATCTTTTCATTGAGCAGTTTTGAATCTCTCTTTTTGTAGACTCTGCTTGCAGATATTTGGAGAGCTTTGAGGCCTATTGTGGAAAAGGGATCATCTTCACATAAAAACACACAGAAGCACTCTGAGAAACTTCTTTGTGAAGTGTGCATTCAACTCACAGAGTTGAACCTATCTTTTGATTGAGAAGCTTTGAATCTCTCTTTTTGTAGAAGCTGCATGTGGATATTTGGAGACGTTTGTGGCCTATGGTAGAAAAGGCTATATCTTCAAATAAAAACTAGACAGAAGCATTTTGAGAAATTTCTCTGTTCTGTGTGCATTCATATCACATGGTTGAAACTACTTTTGATTGAGCAGTTTCGAGTCTCTCTGTTTGTACCATCTGCAATGGATATTTGGAGCCCTTTGTGGTCTGTGGTGGAAAAGGAACTATCCTCAAATAAAAACTACACGGAAGTATTCTGAGAAACTTCTTTGTGATGTGTGCATTTATCTCACAGAGTTGAACCTTTGGTTTGATTGAGCAGTTTTGAGATAATATTTCCATAGAATCTGGAAGTGAATACTTGGATAACTTTGAGATCTATTTTGGAGAAGGAGATATCTTTATATAAAAACTGCACAGAAGCATTCTGAGAAACATGTTTGTGAGGTGTGCAATGAAGTCACAGAGTTGAAACTATCTTTTGATTCAGCAGTTTTGAGTCTCTCTTTTTGCAGAATCTGCGAGTGGATATCTGGAGAACTTTGAGGACTATTTGGAAAAGGAAATATCTTCACATAAAAACTACGCAGAAGCATTTTGAGATACTTCTTTGTGAGGTGTGCATTCCACTCACAGAGTTGAACTTATCTTTCCATGGAGCACTTTCATATCTCTTTCTTTGTGGAATCTGCAAGTGGATATTGGGAGTTCTTTGTACCCTGTTTGGAAAGGGAAATATCTTCATATAAAAACTACAAAGAAGCATTCTGAGAAACTTCTTTGTGATGTGTGCATTCATCTCACAGTGTTGGACGTTTCTTTTGATAGGGCAGTTTTGAAACGCTCTTTTTGTAGAATCTGCAAGTGGATATTTGGAGCGCTTTGAGGCCTAATGTGGAAAATCAAATATCTTCACATAAAAACTACACAGAGGCATTCTGAGAAACTTCTTTTTTGTGTGTGCATTCAACTCACATAGTTGAAGTAATCTTTGGATTTAGCTGTTTTGAATCTCCTTTTTGCAGAATCTGCAAGTTGATACTTGGAGCCCTGTTTCACCCTATAGTGGAAAAGCAAATATCTTCACATAAACAAACCCTACAGAGAAGCATTCAGAGAAAGTCCTTTGTGATGTGTGCATTGAACATGCAGAGTTGACACTATCTTTTGATTGTACAGTTTTGAATACGTCTTTTTGTAGAATCTGCAAGTGGAAGTTTGGAGCTGTTTGCACCCTGTGGTGTAAAAGGAAATATCTTCATATAAAAGCTACACAGAAGCATTCAGAAAGACTTCTTTGTGATGAATGCGTTCCTCACACAGAGTTGAATCTTCCTTTTTATTGAGTAGTATTGAAACCCTCTTTTTGCAGAATAACCAGGTGGATATTTGGAGAGCTTTGAGGCCTGTTTTGGAAAAGGAAATATCTTCAAATTAAAACCACACAGAAGCATTCTGAGAAGCTTCTTTGTGATGTGTGCATTCAACTCTCAGAGTTCAACGTGTCTTATGATGGAGCAGTTGGAAACACTCTTTTTTGTAGAAACTGCAAGTGGATATGTAGAGCGATTTGAGGCCTACTGTGGAAAAGCAAATATCTTCACATAACAACTACACAGAAGCACTCCTAGAAACTTCTTTGTGATGTGTGAATTCAACTCACAGAGCTGAACCTATCTTTTGATGGAGTAGCTTAGAATCTCTCTTTTTTTAGAATCTGCACGTGGATATTTGGAGCGCTTTGAGACCTAAAGTGGAAAAGCAAATATCTTCACATAAAATCTACATAGAGGCACTCTAAGAAACTTCTTTTTGATGTGTGCATTCACCTCACAGAGCTGAACCGATCCTTTGAGTGACCAGTTTTGAATCTCTCTTTTTATACAATCTGCAAGTGGATATTTGGAGCCCTTTGCGGCCTATGGTGGAAAAGGAAATATCTTCAAATAAAAACTACACAGAAGCATTCTGAGTCCCTATTTTGGAAAAGAGAATATCTTCACTTAAACAACTACGCAGAAATACTGTGAGAAACTTCTTTGTTATGTGAGCATTCAACTCACAGAGTTGAACCTATCTTTTGATTGAGCAGTTTTGAATCTCTCATTTTGCAGAATCTGCAAGGGGATATTGGAGCCCTTTGCGGCCTATGGTGGAAAAGGAAATACCTTCAAATGAAAAGCACACAGAGGCATTCTGAGAAACTTCCTCGTGATTGTGCATTCAACTCACAGAGTTAAACCTATCTTATGATTGACCAGTTTTGGAACACTCTTTTCATAGGATCTGCAAGTGGATATTTGGCGTGCTTTGAGGCCCT
>NT_187431.1:0-1300 GCF_000001405.40 Homo sapiens | reverse complement strand
TGAATCAAAAGATAGATTCAACTTTTTGAGTTCAATGCACACCTCACAAGGAAGTTTCTCAGAATGCTTCTGTGTAGTTTTTATATGACGATATCTCCTTCTCCAAAATAGGACTCGAAGCCCTCCAAATATTCACTTTCAGATTCTACGGAAAGAATGTCTCAAAACTGATCAATCAAAACAAACGTTCAACTCTGTGTGATGAATGCACTCATCACAAAGTAGTTTCTCTGAATGATTCTGTGTAGTTTTTATTTGAAGATATTTGCTTTTCCACTATTGGGTGAAATAGGGCTCAAATAACCACTTGCAGATTCTACAAAAAGAGAGATTCTAAACTACTCAATCAAAAGACAGGTTCCACCCTGTGAGATGAATGGAAACATCATAAAGATGTTTCTCAGAATGCTTCTGTGTAGTTTTTATTTGATGATATTTCCTTTTCCACCATAGGCTGCTAAGGGCTCCAAATATCCACTTGCAGATTCTACAAAAAGAGATAATCTAAACGGCTCAATCAAAAGATAGGTTCAATTATGTGAGTTCAATGCATACCTCACAAAGAATTTTCTCAGAATGCTTTTGTGTAGTTTTTATGTGAAGATATTTCCTTTTCCACAATAGGCCTCAAATCTCTCCAAATATCCACTTGCAGATTCTACAGAAAGAGAGACTCAATGCTGCTCAATGAAAAGATAGGTTCAACTCTGTGAGTTGAATGCACACCTCCCTAAGTAGTTTCCCAGAATGCTTCTGTGTAGTTTTTATGTGAAGATATTTGATTTTCCACATTTGGCCTCAAAACACTAAAATATCCACCTGCAGATCCTGCAAAAAGAGTGTTTCAAAACTGCTCAATCAAAGGAAAGGTTCAACTCTCTGTGATGAAGGCACTCACCACGAAGAAGTTTCTCTGAATGCTTCTGTGTATTATTTATTTGAAAATATTTCCTTTTCCACCATAGGCTGCAAAGGGTTCCAAATATCCACTTGCAGATTCCACAAAAAGAGAGTTTCAAAACTGCTCAATCAAAAGATAGGTTCAATTCTGTGAAGTGAAAGCACACATCACAGATGAATGCACACTTCACAAGGAAGTTTCTTTGAATGCTTCTGTGTAGTTTTTATTTGAAGATATTTCCTTTTCCACCACAGGGCGCAAAGGGCTCCAAATATCCACTTGCAGTTTCTAAAAAAGAGGTTTTCAAAACTGCTCAATCAATAGATAGGTTCAACTCTGTGAGTTGAATGCACACAAAACAATGAAGTTTCTCAGAATGCTTCCGTGTATTTTTTATTT
>NT_187430.1:0-1951 GCF_000001405.40 Homo sapiens | reverse complement strand
TCTGAGAATGGGCAGACTGCCACCTCAAGTGAGGCCCTGACCCCTGAACCCAGAGCAGCCTAACTGGGAGGGACCCCCCAGCAGGGGCAGAATGACACCTCACACGGCCAGGTACTCCAACAGACGTGCAGCTGAGGGTTCTCTTTGTTAGAAGGAAAACTAACAAACAGAAAGGACATCCACAACAAAAACCCATCAGTACATCACCATCATCAAAGACCAAAAGTAGATAAAACCACAAAGATGGGGAAAAATCAGAGCAGAAAAACTGGAAACTCTAAAAAGTAGAGTGCCTCTCCTCCTCCAAAGGAACGCAGTTCCTCATCAGCAATGGAACAAAGCTGGATGGAGAATGACTTTGACTAGCTGAGAGAAGAAGGCTTCAGATGATCAAACTACTCTGAGCTGCAGAAGAACACTCAAACCAAAGGCAAAGAATTTGAAAACGTTGAAAAAAATTTAGAGGGATGTATAACTAGAATAACAAATACAGAGAAGTGCTTAAAGGAGCTGATGGAGCTGAAAGCCAAGGCTCGAGAAGTACATGAAGAATGCAGAAGCCTCAGGAGACAATGCGATCAACTGGAAGAAAGGGTATCAGCAATGGAAGATGAAGTGAATGAAATGAAGCGAGATGGGAAGTTTAGAGAAAAAAGAATAAAAAGAAACGAGCAAAGCCTCCAGGAAATATGGGACTATGAGAAAAGACCAAATCTACGTCTGATTGTTGTACCTGAAAGTGACGGGGAGAATGGAGCCAAGTTGGAAAACACTCTGCAGGATATTATCCAGGAGAACTTCCCCAATCTAGCGAGGCAGGCCAACATTCAGATTCAGGAAAAACAGAGAATGCCACAAAGATACTCCTCGAGATGAGCAACTCCAAGACACATAATTGTCAGATTCACCAAAGTTGAAATGAATGAAAAAATGTTAAGGGCAGCGAAAGAGAAAGGTCGGGTTACCCTCAAAGGAAAGCCCATTAGACTAACAGCAGATCCCTCTGCAGAAACTCTACAAGCCAGAAGATAGTGGGGGCCAATATTCAACATTCTTAAAGAAAAGAATTTTCAACCCAGAATTTCACATCCAGACAAACTAAACTTCATAAGTGAAGGAGAAATAAAATCCTTTACAGACAAGCAAATGCTGAGAGATTTTGTCACCACCAGGCCTGCCCTAAAAGAGCTCCTGAAGGAAGCACTAAACATGGAGAGGAACAATTGGTACCAGCCGCTGCAAAATCATGCCAAAATGTAAAGACCTTCGAGACTAGGAAGAAACTGCATCAACTAACGAGCAAAATAACCAGCTAACATCATGATGACAGGATCAAATTCACACATAACAATATTAACTTTAAATGTAAATGGACTAAATGCTCCAATTAAAAGACACAGACTGGCAAATTGGATAAAGAGTCAAGACCCATCAGTGTGCTCCATTCAGGAAACCCATCTCACGTGCAGAGACACACATAGGCTCAAAATAAAACGATGGAGGAAGATCTACCAAGTAAATGGAAAACAAAAAAAGACAGGGGTTGCAATCCTAGTCTCTGATAAAACAGACATTAAACCAACAAAAATCAAAAGAGACGAAGAAGGCCACTGCTTAATGGTAAAGGGATCAATTCAACAAGAAGAGCTAACTATCCTAAATATATATGCACCCAATACAGGAGCACCCAGATTCATAAAGCAAGTCCTGAGTGACCTACAAAGAGACTTAGACTCCCTCACATTAATAATGGGATAATTTAACACAGCACTGTCAACATTAGACAGATCAGCGAGACAGAACATCAACAAGGATACCCAGGAATTGAACTCAGCTCTGCACCAAGCATACCTAATAGACATCTACAGAAATCTCCACCCCAAATCAACAGAATATACATTTTTTTCAGCACTGCATCACACCTATTCCAAAATTGATCACATACTGGAAG
>NT_187429.1:0-2186 GCF_000001405.40 Homo sapiens | reverse complement strand
TGCACACATCACAAAGAAATTTCTCAGAATATTTCTGTGTAGTTTTTATGTGAAGATATTTCCTTTCCCACATAGGCTCCAAATCGATCAAAATAACTACTTGCAGATTCTACAAAAAGAGTGTTTCCAAACTGCTAAATCCAAAGAAAGGTTCAAATCGGTGAGTTGAATGTACACCTCACAAGGAAGTTTCTCAGAATGCCTCTGTGTAGTTTTCATGGGAAGATATTTCCTTTTCCACAATAGGCCTCAAGCCCTCCATATATCCATTTGCAGATTCCACAAAAAGAGTGTTTCCAAACTTCTCAATTGAAAGAGAGGTTCAACTCCATGAGATGAATGCATACATCACAAAAAAGTTTCTCAGAATGCTTCTGTGAAGTTTTTATAAGAAGATATTTAGTTTTCCACCATAGCCTGCAAAGGTTTCCAAATATGCACTTGCTGATTCTACAAAAAGAGATTTTCAAAACTGCTCTATCAAAAGATAGGTTCAGCTCTATGAGTTGAATGCACACATCACAAAGTAGTTACTCCGAATACTTCTGTGTAGCATTTATGGAAAGATATTTCCTTTTCCACCATAGGATACAAAACGCTCCAAATATCCACTTCCAGATTCTATAAAAAGTGATTTTAAAAATTGCTGTATCAGAAGATAGGTTCAACTCTTTGCGTTCAATGCACATATCATAAAGAAGTTTCTCAGAATGCTTCTTTGTAGTTTTTATGGGAAGATATTTCCTTTTCCACCATGGGCCTCAAAACGCTCCAAGTATCCACTTGCAGATTCTATGAAAGAGTGTTTCTAAACTGCTCAATCAAAAGAAAGTTTCAACTCTGTAAGATGAATGCACACATCACAAAGAAGTTTCTGAGAATGCTTCTGTGTAGGTTTTTTGGGAAGATATTTCCTTTTCCACCATAGGCCTCAAAGTGATGCAAATATCCACTTGCAGAGTCTATAAAAAGAGTGTTTCAAAACTGCTCAATCAAAAGACAGGTTCAAGTCTGTAAGATGAATTCACACATCACACAGGAGTTTCTCAAAATGCTTCTGTGTAGTTTTTATGTGAAGATATTTCCTTTTCCACAATAGGCCTACAAGGGCTCGAAATATCCACTTGCAGATACTAGTAAAAGAGTGTTTCCAAACTGCACAATCAAAAGAAATGTTAAACACTGTGATGTGAATTCACACATCACAAGGTAGTTTCTCAGAATGCTTCTGTGTAGTTTTTATGTTAAGATATTTCCTTTTCCACCGTAGGCCACAAAGGAATCCAAATATCCACTTGCAAATTCTACAAAAAGAGAGTTTCAAAACTGCTCTATCAAAAGATAGGTTCAACTCTGAGAATTGAATGCACACATCACAAAGAACTTTCGTAGAATGCTTTTCTGTAGTTTTTATGTGAAGATATTTCCTTTTCCACAATAGGCCTCAAATCGCTCTAAATATCCCCTTGCAGATTCTACAAAAAGAGTGTTTCAAAACTGCCCAGTCAAAAGATAGGTTCAAATCTTAGAGTTGAATGCACACATCACAAAGAACTTTCTTAGAATGCTTCTGCGTAGTTTTTATGTGAAGATATTACCTTTTCCACCATAGGCCACAAAGCACTCCGAATATCCACTTGCAGATTCTACAGAAAGAGTGTTTCAAAACTGCTCAATCAAAAGAAAGGTTTAACTCTGTGAGATGAATGCACACATCACAAATAAATTTCCAAGATTGCTTCTGTCTATATTTTGTGTGATGATATTTCTTTATCCACCATAGGCCTCAAAGCACTCTAAATGTCCACTTGTAGATTCTACAAAAAGAGTGTTTCCAAACTGCTCAATCAAAAGTTAGGTTCAACTCTGTGAGATGAATGCACACATCACAAAGATGTTTGTCAGAATGCTTCTGTCTAGTTTTTATGTGAAGATATTTCCTTTTCTACCATAGGCCTCAAAGCACTCCCAATGTCCACTTGCAGATTCCACAAAAGAGGTTTTCAAAGCTGTTCAATCAAAATAAATGTTCAACTCTCTGAGATGAATGCACACATCACAAAGAAGTTTGTCAGAATGCGTCTGTCTAGTTCTTATGTGAAGATATTTCCTTTTCCACCAAAGGCATCAAAGCACTCCAAATGTCCAATCACAGGTATTATCAAAAGGGTGCTCAAAACTGCTAA
>NT_187428.1:0-2318 GCF_000001405.40 Homo sapiens | reverse complement strand
TTTTGCAGAATCTGCAATTGGATATTTGGAGCGATTTGAGGCTATTGTGGAAAAGGAAATATCTTCACATAAAAACTACACAGAGGCATTCTGAGAAAATACTTTGTGATGTGTGCCTTCAACTCACAGAGTTGAACCTATCTTTTGATTGAGCAGTTTTGAATCTCTCTTTTTGTAGCATCTGCAGGTGGATATTTGGAGCCCTTTGTGGCCTACAGTGGAAAAGGAAATATCTTCAAATAAAAACTAAAAAGAATCATTCCGGGAAAAGTCTTTGTGATGAGTGCATTCATCACAAAGTGTTGAATCTCTCTCTTGACTGAGTAATTTGGAAACACTCTTTTTGTAGAATCTGGAAGTGGATATTTGAAAAGCTTTGTGGTCTATTTTGGAAAAGGAAATATCTTCAGATAAAAACTACACAGAAACTTTCTGGGAAACTTCGTTGTTAGCTGTGCATTCAAGTCACAGATTTTAACCTATCTTTTGATAGAGCAGTTTTGAAACTCGCTTTTTGTAGAATCCGCAAGTGGATATTTGGAGCTTCTTGCGGCCTATGTTAGAAAATTAAATACTCTCACCTAAAATCTATACAGAAGCTATCTGAGAAATTTGTTTGTGATGTGTGCATTCATCTCAAAGAGTTGAACATTTCTTTTGATTGAGCAGTTTCAAAACATTCTTTTTGTAGAATCTGCAAGTGGACATTTGGAGGGCTTTGTGGCCTATGGTAGAAAAGGAAATATCTTAACATAAAATCTAGACAGAAGCAATCTGAGAAACTTCTTTGTGATGTGTGCGTTCATCTCACAGAGTTGATCTTTTTTTTGATGGAGCAGATTTGGAACTCTCTTTTTGTAGTATCTGCAAGTGGAAAATGGGAGTGCCCTGTGACCTATTGTGGAAAATAAATTATCTTCACTTAAAAACTACACAGGAGAATTATGAGAAACTTCTTTGTGATGCGTGTGTTCATCTCACTGAGTTGAATCTTTTTTTGATTGAGCAGTGTGGAAACACTCTTTTTGTTGAATCTGCAAGTGGACATTTGGAGTACTTTGTGGCATATGGTAGAAAAAGAAATATCCTCACATAAAATCTATACAGAAGCAATCTGTGAAACTTCTTTGTAATGTGTGCATTCATCTCACAGAGTTAAAAATTTCTTTTGATAGAGCAGTTTTGAAACTCTCTTTTGTAGAATCTGCAAGTGAACATTTGGAGCACTTAAAGGCCTATGGTGGAAAAGGAAATATCTTCACATAAAAACTAGACAGAAGAATTCCGAGAAACTTCTTTGTGATGTGTGTCTTCACCTTACAGATTTGAACCTTTCTTTTGATTGAGCAGTTTGGAAACACTATTTTGTAGAATCTGCAAGTGGATATTTGGAGCGCTTTGCGGCCTAAGGTAGAAAAGGAAATATCTTTACATAAAATCTAGAGAGAAGCAGTCTGAGAAACTTATTTGTGATGTGTGCATTCACCTCACAGAGTTAAACCTTCCTTTTGATTGAGAAGTCTTTAACTCTCTTTTTGAAGGATCTGCAAGTGGACATTTGTAGCACTTTGTGGCTGACGTTAGAAAAGGAAATATCTTCACATAAAATCTAGACAGAAGCAATCTTAGAAACTTCTTTGTGATGTGTGCATTCATCTCACAGAGTTAACTCTCTCTTTGGTTTGAGCAGTTCTGAAACTCTCTTTTGTTGAATCTGCAAGATGACATTTGGGACGCTTTGACGCCAATAGTGGAAAAGGAAATATCTTCACATAAAAACTAGATAGAAGCATTCTGAGAAACATTTTGTGATATGCGCATTCATCTCCCAGAGAAGAACATTTCCGTTGATGGACCAGTTTTGAAACGCTCTTTCTGTAGAATCTGCAAGTGGACATTTCAAGCGCCTTGAGGCCTGTGGTGGAAAAGGAAATATCTTCACATAAAAACTAGACAGAAGAATTCTGAGAAACTTCTTCATGATGTGTGTGTTCATCTCACAGAGTTGAACCTTTCTTTTGATTTAGCAGTATGGAAACACTCTTTTTGTATAATTTGTAAGTGGATATTTGGAGATCGTTGTGGCCAATGGCAGAAAATTAAATATCTTCACATAAAATCTAGACAGAAGTAATCTCAAAATCTTCTTTGTGATGTGTGCATTCACCTCAAAGAGGTAAACCTTTCTTTTGATTGAGGAGTTTGAAAATCTTTTTGTAGAATCTGCAAGTGGATATTTGGAAAAGGAAATATCCTCACATAAAAACTAGGCAGATGTATACAGATAAATATCTTTGTGATGTCTGCGTTCATCTCAT
>NT_187427.1:0-2415 GCF_000001405.40 Homo sapiens | reverse complement strand
TGTGTAGTTTTTATGTGAAGATATTTCCTTTCCCACATAGGCTCCAAATCGATCCAAATAACTACTTGCAGATTCTACAAAAAGAGTGTTTCCAAACTGCTAAATCCAAAGAAATGTTCAAATTGGTGAGTTGAATGTACACCTCACAAGGAAGTTTCTCAGAATGCCTCTGTGTAGTTTTCATGGGAAGATATTTCCTTTTCCACAATAGGCCCCAAGCCCTCCATATATCCATTTGCAGATTCTACAAAAATAGTGTTTCCAAACTTCTCAATTGAAAGAGAGGTTCAACTCCGTGAGATGAATGCATACATCACAAAAAAGTTTCTCAGAATGCTTCTGTGAAGTTTTTATAAGAAGATATTTAGTTTTCCACCATAGCCTGCAAAGGTTTCCAAATATCCACTTGCTGATTCTACAAAAAGAGATTTTCACTACTGCTCTATCAAAAGATAGGTTCAGCTCTATGACTTGAATGCACACATCACAAAGTAGTTCCTCAGAATACTTCTGTGTAGCATTTATGGAAAGATATTTCCTTTTCCACCATAGGATACAAAACGCTCCAAATATCCACTTCCAGATTCTACAAAAAGTGATTTTAAAAATTGCTGTATCAGAAGATAGATTCAACTCTCTGCGTTCAATGCACATATCATAAAGAAGTTTCTCAGAATGCTTCTTTGTAGTTTTTATGGGAAGATATTTCCTTTTCCACCATGTGCCTCAAAACGCTCCAAGTATGCACTTGCAGATTCTATGAAAGAGTGTTTCTAAACTGCTCAATCAAAAGAAAGTTTCAACTCTGTGAGATGAACGCACACATCACAAAGAAGTTTCTGAGAATGCTTCTGTGTAGGTTTTTTGGGAAGATATTTCCTTTTCCACCATAGGCCTCAAAGTGATGCAAATATCCACTTGCAGATTCTACAAAAAGAGTGTTTCAAAACTGCTCAATCAAAAGACAGGTTCAAGTCTGTAAGATGAATTCACACATCACACAGGAGTTTCTCAAAATGCTTCTGTGTAGTTTTTATGTGAAGATATTTCCTTTTCCACAATAGGCCTACAAGGGCTCGAAATATCCACTTGCAGATACTAGTAAAAGAGTGTCTCCAAACTGCACAATCAAAAGAAATGTTCAACACTGTGATGTGAATGCACACATCACAAAGTAGTTTCTCAGAATGCTTCTGTGTAGTTTTTATGTTAAGATATTTCCTTTTCCACTGTAGGCCGCAAAGGAATCCAAATATCCACTTGCAAATTCTACAAAAAGAGAGTTTCAAAACTGCTCTATCAAAAGATAGGTTCAACTCTGAGAATTGAATGCACACATCACAAAGAACTTTCGTAGAATGCTTTTCTGTAGTTTTTATGTGACGATATTTCCTTTTCCACAATAGGCCTCAAATCGCTCTAAATATCCCCTTGCAGATTCTACAAAAAGATTGTTTCAAAACAGCTCAGTCAAAAGATAGGTTCAAATCTTAGAGTTGAATGCACACATCACAAAGAACTTTCTTAGAATGTTTCTGCGTAGTTTTTATGTGAAGATATTACCTTTTCCACCATAGGCCTCAAAGCACTCCGAATATCCACTTGCAGATTCTACAGAAAGAGTGTTTCAAAACTGCTCAATCAAAAGAAAGGTTTAACTCTGTGAGATGAATGCACACATCACAAAGAAATTTCCAAGATTGCTTCTGTCTATATTTTGTGTGATGATATTTCTTTATCCACCATAGGCCTCAAAGCACTCTAAATGTCCACTTGTAGATTCTACAAAAAGAGTGTTTCAAAACTGCTCAGTCAAAAGTTAGGTTCAACTCTGTGAGATGAATGCACACATCACAAAGATGTTTGTCAGAATGCTTCTGTCTAGTTTTTATGTGAAGATATTTTCTTTTCTACCATAGGCCTCAAAGCACTCCCAATGTCCACTTGCAGATTCCACAAAAGAGGTTTTCAAAGCTGTTCAATCAAAATAAATGTTCAACTATCTGAGATGAATGCACACATCACAAAGAAGTTTGTCAGAATGCGTCTGTCTAGTTCTTATGTGAAGATATTTCCTTTTCCACCAAAGGCATCAAAGCACTCCAAATGTCCAATCACAGGTATTATCAAAAGGGTGCTTCAAAACTGCTAAATCAAATTAAGGCTCAACTCTGTGATATGAATGCACATATTGCAAAGAAAGTTATCAAAATGCTTCTGTCTAGTTTTTATGTGAAGATATTTCCTTTTTACCATAGGCCTAAAAGTGCACAAAATGTCCACTTGCAGATTTTACAAAAAGAGTGCTTCCAGACTGCTAAATCAAAAGAAAGGTTCAACTCTGTGGGACGAGTACATACATCACAAAGAAGTTTCTTAGAATGCTTCTGTCAAGTTATCATATGAAGATATTTT
>NT_187426.1:0-4055 GCF_000001405.40 Homo sapiens | reverse complement strand
GTCCCCTTCCAGTTAGTACAGAAAGAGTGTTTCAAACCTGCTCTATGAAAGGAAATTTTCAATTCTGTGACTTAAAAGCAAACATCACAAAGAAGCTTCTTAGAATTCTGCTGTCTTCTTTTTTATGTCGTACCGTTTCTAACGAAATCCTCAAAGCTATCCAATTATCCACTTGCACATTCCACAAAAGGAGTGTTTGAAAACTGATCTATAAATAGAAAAGTTCAACTCTGTTGGTTGAGTACATACATCACAAAGAAGTTTGTTAGAATGCTTCTGTCTAGTTTTTATGGGAAGACATTTCCTTTTTCACCAAAGGCGTCAAAGCGCTCCAAATGTCCACTTCCAGATTCTACAAAATGAGTTTTCAAACCTGCTCTAAGAAAGGGAATGTTCAACTCTGTGACTTGAATGCAGATATCACAAAGTAGTTTCTGAGAGTGCTTCTGTGTATACTTTAGATGAAGATATTCCCGTTTCCAACGATATCGTTAGACCTATCCAAATATCCACTTACAGTTTCTACAAAAAGAGTGTTTCCAAACTGCTGCATCAAAAGAAAGGTTCAACTCTGTTAGTTGAGGACAGACATCAGAAAGAAGTTTCTGAGAATGCTTCTCTCTAGATTTTGTATGAAGATATTCCCGTTTCCAGGAATATCGTTAAAGCAATCCAAATATCAACTTGCAGATTCCACGGAAATAGAGTTTCTAAGCTGCTCTGTAAAAAGAAAGGTTCCACTCTGTTAGGTGAGTACGCACATCACAAACATATTTCTGAGAATCCTTCTGTCTAGTTTTTATGGGAAGATATTTCCATTTTCACCATAGGCGTCAAAGCACTCCTAATGTCCACTTCCCGATACTACAAAAAGGGTGTTTCAACCCGGCTCTATGAAATTGAATGTTCAACTCTACGAGTTGAATGAAAAGATCATGAAGAAGTTTCTGAGAATGCTTCTGTCTAGATTTTGTATGAAGGTATTCCCGTTTCCAACGAAACCCTCTAAGCTATCCAAATTTCCACTTACAGATTCTTCAAAAAGAGTGTTTCAAACCTGCTCTGTCAAAAGAAAGGTTCAACTCTGTTAGTTGAGGTAACACATCACAAACAAGTTTCTGAGAATGCTTCTGTCTTTTTTTTATTGGAAGATATTTCCTTTTTCACAATAGGCGACAAAGTGCTCGAAATATCCACTTGCACATACTACAAAAAGTGTGTTTCAAACCTGCTCTATGAAAGGAAATGTTCAACTCTATGAGTTGAAAGCAAACATCAAAAAGAAATTTCTGAGAATGCTGCTGTCTACTTTTTATATGAATTCCCGTTTCCAATGAAATCCTCAAAGCAATCCAAGTATCCACTTGTAGATTCCACAAAAAGAGTGTTTCAAAACTCCTCTATGAACAGCAAGGTTCAACTCTGTTAGTTGGGACACACATCACAAAGAGTTTTCTGAGAATGCTTCTATGTAGATTTTATATGAAGATATTCCCGTTTCCAACGAAATCCACAAAGCCATCCAACATCCCCTTGCCGATTCTACAAAAAGAGTGTTTCAAAACTGCTCTGTAAAAAGAAAGGTTCAACTCTGTTAATTGAGTACACACATCCCAAACAGGTTTCTGAGAATGCTTCTGTCCAGTTTTTAATGGAAGATATTTCCTTTTTCACCATAGGCGTCAAAGCGCTCCAAATGTCCAATTCCAGATACTACAAAAAAGAGTGTTTCAAACCTGCTCTATGAAAGGGAATGTTTATCTCTACGAATTGAATGAAAACATCACAAGAAGTTTCTGGGAATGCTTCTGTCTAGGTTTTATAGGAAGATATTCCCGTTTCCAACGAAATCCTCAAGGCTATCCAAATATCCACTTCCAGATTCGACAAAAAGAGTGTTTCAAAACTGGTCTGTCAAAAGAAAATTTCAACTCTGTTAGTTGAGTACATATATCACAAACCGGTTTCTGAGAATGCTTCTGTCTAGTTTTTATGGGAAGATATTTCCTTTTTCACCGAAGGCATCAAAACGCTCCAAATATCCACTTCCAGATACTACAAAAAGAGTGTTTCAAACCTGCTCTATGAAAGGGAATGATGTTCAAATCTGTGACTTGAATGCGGATATCACAAAGCGGTTTCTGAGAGTGCTTCTGTCGAGATTTTATATGAAGATATTCCCGTTTCCAAAGAAATATTTAGCGCTATCCAAAGATCCACTTGCAGATTCTACAAAAAGAGTGTTTCAAAACTGCTGTATCAAAAGAAAGGTTCAACATCTGTGAACATAAAGATGTTTCTGATAATGATTCTGTCTAGTTTTTATGTGGAGATATTCCCGTTTCGAACGAAGGCCTCAAAGTGCTACAAATGACAACTTGCAGATTCTGCAAAAAGAGTGTTTCAAAACTGTTCTATGAAAAGAAATGTTCAACTCTGAGAGTTGAATGCAAACGTCACAAAGAAGTTTCTGAGAATGCTTCTGTCTGGTTTTTATGTGAAGATATTACCGTTTCCAACGAAAGCCTCAAAGATGTCCTAATATCCACTTATGAATTCTACAAGAAGTGTTTCAAAAGTGCTCTTTCAAAGGAAAGGTTTAACACTGTGAGTTGAGTACACACATCACAAAGCAGTTTCTTAGCATGCTTCTGTCTAGTTTTTATGTGAAGATATTTCCTTTTTCACCATAGGCCTCAAAGCGCTCCAAATGTCCACTTCCAAATACTGCAAAAAGAGTGTTACAAAACTACTCTATGAAAGGGAATGTTCAACTCTGTGAGTTGAATGCAAACATCACAAAGAAGTTTCTGAGAACGCTTCTGTCTAGTTTTTATGTGAAGATATTCCCGTTTCGAACGAAGGCCACAAAGCGCTCCAAATGTCCACCTGCAGATTCCAGAAAACGAGTGTTTCAAATCTCCTCTATCAAAAAAATTGTTAAACTCTGTGAGTTGAGTACACATATCACAAAGAAGTTTCTGTGAATTCTTGTGTGTAATTTTTATGGGAAGATATTTCCTTTATCACAATACACCTCAAAGAGCTCCAAACGTCCACTTGCAGATTCTACAAAAAGTGTGTTTCAAAACTGCCCTATGAAAAGGAATGTTCAACTCCATGAGTTGAATGCAAACATCAAAAAGAAGTTTCTGAGAATGCTTCTTTCTAGTTTTTATGTGAGGATATTCCCGTTTCCACGGAAATCCTCAAAGCTATCCAAATATCCACTTGCAGATACTACAAAAAGATTGTTTCAAAATTGGTCTATCAAAATAAAGTTCAACTCTGTGAATTGAGTACACACATCACAAAGAAGTCTCTGATAATTCTTCTGACTAGTTTTTATGTGAAGATATTTCCTTTTTCACCATAGGCCTCAAATCGCTCCAAATGTCCACTTCCAGATACTACAAAAAGTGTGTTTCAAAACTGCTCTATGTAAGGGAATTTTCAAATCTGTGAGTTGAATGCAAACATCACAAAGAAGTTTCTGAGAATGCTTCTGTCTAGTTTTTATGTGAAGGCATTCCCGTTTCCTACGAAATCCTCAAAGCTATCCAAATATCCTCTTGCAGATTCTACAAAAAGCGTGTTTCAAAACTGCTCTATCAAAAGAAAAGTTCAACTCTGTGAGTTGAGTACACACCTCACAAAGAAGTTTCTGAGAATTTTTATGTCTATTTTTTATGGGAAGATATTTCCTTTTTTATCATAGACCTCAAAGCCCTCCAAGTTTCCACTTACACATTCTACAAAAAGTGTTTCAAAACTGCTCTATGAAAAGGAATGTTCAATTCTGTGAGTTGAATGGAAGCATCACAAAGAAGTTTCTTACAATGCTTCTGTGTGGTTTTTATGTGAAGATATACCCGTTTCCAGCGAAGGCCTCCAATCTCTCCAAATATCCACTTCCAAATTCTACAAAAAGATTGTTTCCAATCTCCTCTATCAAAAGAAAATTTCAACTCTGTGAGTTGAATGCACACATCACAAAAAAGTTTCTGAGAATGCTTCTGTCTAGTTTTTTGTGAAGATAATCCCGTTCCAAAGAA